>NC_000004.12:131648653-131951684 GCF_000001405.40 Homo sapiens
CATATATAAATAAGAATATATATTGGATAATATTCACACACCCACACATGTGCACACACATGTGAATATGAACACAAAATATGCCCACAGCATACAAGTTTACAAATGTATTTTGCAAGGTATTTATCTCATCCAAAGATACACAGATTTCTGAGTCTCAGAATTGTTCTTCATATGGCATCCTATATTGGAAGTGAAATAGTATTATATGATCTAATTTATCATAACGATACAGATTTTTAGATAAATAATTCAATCTTTACAGGCACATTACAAATTCATTTATCATATGATTTTTGTAGGTGAAAGAAAAAGAATATTTGAAATAATAGAATATGACTATTCAAAACCATTCTCCCTCAATGATGCCACATTAAGGTTATTGCAGGGTGAGGATTACGATATTGTGATATGACTGAAGGACAAATGATTTAAATTCCTGTTTCTATTTCCTGGTTTTATAGAGGAAAGAAGATGTTCAAAGAAAGAGGGTTTGAAAGCTTAATACTCAATAACAGTCAAAGGTTATTAAAATGATGCATATGACAGTGTTATTTGTCTTCTAGGCCTGTCTTGAATTTTTCTAAATTGTTTGCAATAGAATCAAAAGGCACTTACCAATAATCCATATAAATAATATAAATATAAATTCCAGTTTACTGAATCATGTATCACCGACAAGTACTCATGATAATATATGTATTATCTTATTCTGTTCTCTTCATTACGCTGTCAACTTATGTGAACAAGATGCTTTAGTTCTTCAAAGCTTCACAGTGTGACTTCTTTTGCTTCAATTGCTACAGACACCCAGCTGTCCAAAACTCAATTATTTGTTTATACTTTATCTACATCTCAACAGAACAACAGTTTTCTATCACACATCTTTCAAAAGATCACAAAGCTTATAATATAACTTCTGGAGAGATATGGCTAGTCTAGTTCAAAGGAGTGAAATTTTGCAATCCAATGAGAACACACTACTGCTTCTTAAGAGTTTTTCAAAAATATTTTAAATTGAAGCTATCATGAATAATTCTGATTGTTTACTGAGAGGAAAAATATTGCAAATTAGCCCAATGTTTTATTTCTTTTCTGTTTATAGAATTATATATATAATATATGAATTGTTCTTCATATATATGAAGAACCATAGATATAGATATATAGATATAGATATATCTCAGTCTAATGACAGTAATGATTGAAAAGGTACCTTTAAAATATGTACTAATATGTTTCTTTGCTGCTCCAAGAGATAACAGCATCTGTATAAAAACACCAATTAATATATTCATGACAAAAATAAAGCTATAACAAAACCTGTAATATACTACATTCTTTGTGATTTTAATATTATATTTATGATTTCTATAGTTAGTAGTTCTTATAGATAAATTATTGAAAATGTTTAAATTTGGGGGGTGTTATAGTCTCTAAGAAATGAAAACATGAATTTATAGAGCTTCATTATAGATGTTGCCGTGGACTATATATTATTTGTTATATTTCCAAAGGTAAAAATTTTGGAAAACATATCATATCCTAAGGACAGCCATAGCACTCCTTTTAATATTAATCAAACTGTAATAAACTCTACCATTCTTGAAGTCAGCAGAATAAGTCATCATTTGCAGCTACTATGGTTGGGACCATGGTTATAAATAAATAATCAAATATAAATAGTTGCTATGATATACTTTTTCAGAAAAGCATGGATATCGGAATTTCACTTCCTTAATTACAATACATATATGAGTCTCAGCTTTTTTTAATCATTCAACCAGTTTTATTATAACTATGAAGATACCGAAGACCAGTAACTTTGTACATAAAATGAAAACTTTGTAGTTTATTGCTGAAATTGCTTCAGCCTCTCACGTTGATAGTTTTCTTTCAATAGCCCAATAAGTTGTCCTGTTGTTTAATAACATATAAGGCACTTGTGTTCATGTAGTTATGTTTTCTGAGTTTTGAGAAAATAGTAAATTTACCTTAAGAACACAGCTAAAGGTTTTCATTTTAGCATCAATTTTCTTGCCCTGGCTATTTTATAGCAAACAATATGGAGAATTGTTCAAACTGCTCATTTAGAGAACCTAAATTAAATTCTAAATTCATCTGCTTATGAACAAATGATAAGCTAGTTAATGTATCATTAAAGTTGATTATCACTAAGACTATAATATGCAATCTCAGAACAATTTTATTATAAAATCAATTAAATACATTCTCATAAAGTTTATTTAATTGATAGCTTTATTACTTGTGTAAGCTTGTCCAGTCACTAATAGACTTCTGTTGTTTAACCTAATTCTCCTTACACCCAGTCTCTGAAGCACTTTTCTCTGACTTGAACAAATTCCTTAAATAAATTGACACAATTCAGCATACAGTATTTTTTTTCTTTTCTTTTTTTTTTTTTTTTTTTGAGACAGAGTATCACTCTGTCGCTCAGGCTGGAGTGTAGCAGTGTGATCTTGGCACACTGCCACCTCTCCCTCCTGGATTCAAGTGATTCTTGTGTCTCAACCACCCTAGTAGCTGGGATTACAAACTTGCACCACCACACCCAGCTAATTTTTGTATTTTTACCAGAGACCGGGTTTCACCATGTTGGCCAGGTTTCTTCAACTCCTGGTCTTAAGTAATCCATCTGCCTTGGCCTTCCAAAGTGCTGGGATTACAGGTTACAAGTGTGAGCCACCATGCTTGGCCAGCGTACAGTATATTTCAACCCAATCAGAGCAGAGTAGAAAAATGCATGTTTTTAATTAGGAAGAGTCATTGTAACACCATATTAAGACATAAACATTGGATACTTTTTGTTAATTCAATAATAGTCTATTAATTTTAAAATAAAATATTTAGCATTTCTTTGAAATTTCATTAAGTATATAGTATTTGTTGTTTTGGTGAAAGATGGAAGAATGTGCCATCCCAAAACATGCCAGATTGATACATTGATTATTTGGAGTTGAAAATGTTGGAAAAGATGTAATTTCAGAAAAAGCTAGCTGACCTCTCTCCCTGAATGCAGCAAGCCATAAATATTCCTCTGGGAGGGGTACCTTTGTATTACCAGGGCATGAAAATAGTCTTTATCAACAGGGACTTGGAATTAGAGGCTCCAGTGGACCTGAATAAAAATTCTTAATGAGGCAAACCTTATCTTCCATTAGTTTTATAACCCCAACCATGTATCTCCTAGTGACTTCCCTGGAAAATATACTGCCCTTAGCCAGATTTTCTTTGTCTTGTCATGTCTTCTCTATTGTTCTTTGCCTAGAAAATACAAAAGCATCTTGCTTCGGCCACTTCTTTGAACTTTGCACTTCTGTGAAGTTCCCCATAAACATGTAAAACTAGTAAAATTTGTATACTTTTCTCTTGTTAATCTTATTGGCGTTAATTTCATTTCTAAATATAGCTAAAAATCCACTAAGGACTAAGAAGGAGTGGGGGTGGGGTGGAGGTGATCTTGAACTCTCCTACAAGAGCCAACATTTAGATTTATTACAATGAACAAGGTATATATGCTTTTTTTCTCTATATGGTTAGTCCTACCAACTTTGTTCCAGTATTATCCTATTCAAACTCCTGAGAGCCCTAAATCCATCAATCATTCCATTGATTAAACTGTCTTTAAACTATCCCTTTTAGAAGTCCCTTCTTCTATCATCATTTAAAGTATAACAAACTCTGTAGTCTTATATCACCCCCCGCCCCACACACACACACACACACACACACCCCTTTCCTCATTCTCACTTCATAAGCTGATACCTGAACTCCTATTGATTGCCCTTTCTTAGGTCACCAATGACACCATTATTGATGATTCCAATGGTGACATTTCATTTCCTGTCCTATCATCTCTGCAACAGTAGACACATCTTTTTCTTTCCTTCATCTCTGAAGACTCTCTTTCCTTGCCTTCAGTGACAACACACTCTGCTTTAAGCATTTTCTTCTAACAGGGAAGAATGTTATCTCTGGAGACTGATGAACAGGACGTAAATGCAGATTTTATCAATTCCTCACTGTTATGATATTAGAAATGTCTTAACCTCTCTTCTCTACAGTTTTCTCATTTAGAAATTAAAGAAAATACAATAGCATACATCCTGGGCTTCTCTGTGGAGTAAATAAGTTAATTTAAGGATAGCATAGGAAAAAAGTTTTTTTTTTGAAAAATTAAATCACTTAAACCTGTATCTGACATATAATTTAACCAGAGTTTCATTGTTACTACTATTAATAGTTGTAGTATTATTACTGTTGTTTCTTTCAATCACTTTGGGATTATTATTATTTTGATTTAAAGTTACTGTTCTCTTCTTACCCCTTGCAGGGCAGTTCTCTGAGTGGCCTTGGGCAACCCAGTTTTCTCACTTTTCTCACTTACAGTTCTCAAAAATAACTAGAATGTGCTGGGAATGCAACATCTTAAGATAAGAAAGAGTTGGATGAAATAGCTCAAGCTCTGTTATAGTCCCTATGTAGAAACAGGATGCCATTGAACACTTTAGCTCAGGGATGTCCATAGCCTTGTGGTATCAAATTCACGGATGCCTACTTTTCAGGATTCTTTAGCTGTGGTGTAAGTGGGGCACACACAGATGAGACATCATCCACCCCAGATAGCTTCCTGAGCCTTGGGGGCCCAGTTTGCAGTGAATCATAAGCTTCTGTTGTCCCTTTCTGCATTTCTGTAAATAATAAGCCTCCTTCATGTAACTTGTGGTGTGGGGCTATTCTGTCTCGCGAGACTCAGATGTTGGTAACCAGTGCACAGTGACCCGGTTTCACAAGCTAAAATATTCCAGTTCCTCAGGATTTTGTACTTGAGCATTTTCTGTTTTCAAGTTCCGTATACCTCAGAGGTCACATCCTCCATTCTTTTCCATTCTTCCTGATGTAACTAAAATGTCTTCAAATTTTGCCCTTAAATTTTATGTGTATTTATCCAATTAAACACAAGACATTTTTTTCTTCTCTTGAACATCACACAGGAATATCTAACTCAAAGAACTAAAAGGCAATTCATTAGATTATTACTAAATTTGGATCATATTGTGTGTTCTTTGGTTCAGTGAATAACATGATTACCCATTCCCTTGGTCAAAAACTTCTGGGCTAATTTAGTCCCACTGAGGTATTATATATCTAATATATTATAATTATAAAGTGTAATATATAATATTAATATACAGTATATAATATATATAATAAATATATATCATATATAATTTCTCGATTTTCCATTTTTCAATTACCAATATTTAAGTTCTTCCATAAGTAGTATTTTAACCTAGATTATTATAATAATTTATGGCATGGTCTTACGCCTTCCCAAACTCTCCTCCCAGAAAAGTCAGTGTTTGATACAAAAACAAAATTTTATCATTACACTACTTTCTTAAGTCCTTAAAAATCGTCTGAGACAAAATATGCATTCTTTATTATGAAAGAGGAAATGGTTTAGAATTTGTCCTTGCTAAAACATGCAGCCAACATTCCTTGTCCTACTCCTAATTCTATACTCTAGTTCTACTTTTTGCTGCCACACGGGGACATTCTTCAGGTCTTTGCAGTTGATATTTATTTTTTCCTAAATTGTCCTCCAAAAATATCACCCCAAATTTAGACTTTAGTTATGTACCTATACTGAGTAGCCCTTAACTTTCTCTAAGTAATGATGTATTATCCCATTATTTTGGACATATATTTATTTTATATTTTGCTTTAATCTTTGAATACTGTAATTTGTGCATGTTGAAAGTACCTGCCATTTAGTAAACATTGAATATAGGTGAGATGTGATACCTAGGCTAAGAGCTCTGGATTGGGGCCTAGGCTTACACACATGCCGTGTCAATTAACCTTTCTATAATTAAATTAGCCAAACTATAAATTGGAGGCACTAAAAAGTAATCATTGTTGATCATCGTTGTTTGTCAGAAGTTAATGAAAAGATGCATTAAAGTAAACTGGAACAGAATCAAGTAGTTTGTAAAACTATGATTTCAAAATTATTAAATGAATATATATTTAGATACAGCTTATTCATTTAAGTATTATAAATATTATATTTATATAAATATTTAATAATATATAAAATAATATTGTAATATATCATATATAGTATTATATAATAATTATAAATATTATACATAAATATACATATATAATTTCACAACTTACATATATAAAGCATAAAGCTAAAATAAGAACAAAACCAATTTTTCATGGAAATTATGCTCAGAACTTATTTTATGACTTTGACATCTAGATATAACAGATGAGTGGTAGAAAATGTGGTAAATTGGAGAAGACATTTACGTGGCAAAGAGTCTGTTTTCTGTTTCAAGATTCTGCTTTTAATTGTGACTTTTTCCTGAGAAAATTATTTAACCTCTGTGAAAGTAAGCCTGATTAATTTTCTGTATATATCAATGGTGATACAAAGACAGTAAGTAGCAACTGTTTGAAAGTTATGAGGGGAAAATAATAGGGCTTTTGTTGCCCAGATGTAACACTGAAATGTTAGGGTGCTTCATTTCTCATATTAAAGTTCAATGCATGCAAAAAATTGATGCTAAGTATGTATTAGGTCAGTGATCAAACAGCATTCTAATATTTAAATTTAGAAATACTTTAATACTTGAATAATTTCAAAAATGGAATTATTCTTATGAAATTACATAGTGATTACCAATTTTAGGTCTAAAATTGTCTGTTTGGTTCATATTGGCTTGGGAAATAACAACATAATTAGATTTACACAAATTTAAGTCACGAATCTTCAAGAATGCTCAGGAGAAGGCATGCAGGCTGAATTCATAAAGTTCGGGATCACCTCTAAGTTTGTTTGAAGAACAAACTGCAATTATTTTAAAATGCATCTTTTGTTATTTTCCTACAAAAGCTCATGCTTATTATATATTTTCAATCTCATAGGACACACTAACGTTGTTTCCAATATTCCCACTACAAACAAACCTTCAGAAGTTCCCACTAGTTGACCTCTATCAATTTCTTATTTATTCCCTAGGGGATGAAATCAACTTCTCAGTTTTTCACAACCTTTACAGATGAAGTTTATATTTACCATATACATTATTTTCATTTATTAAATATTATTGTGATGTTTTTTCTTCTATATTCCAAGATCATTGCCCAGATTTTTTGTTATTTGTGCTACTTTCTATTAAAAACACTTTCTCTTAAACTAGGACACAGACTTCTTCATACTAGTAGTTTAGAATTTGTCAAGCTATATTTTTATTCTATTTTGAGTATTTGTTCTGACGAAACAGTTGTCAACACATTTTTGTTCTTCTGAGTTCTCATGACTACTTCTATTTTGTTTAGATATATGTTTTTTAAAATAATGAAAAACAAGTAGCCAGATACTAAGCAAATCCTGTGAATGGATGAGTGATACATTAATTATTGTGTAGTTCCCTGATTTTTGACCTGTTTATTTCTCTATTAAATGTACTTTCCCTTAAACTTGCTGTTTTCTTTCCTTACTTTTGGTTCTGTGAAATCTAAATATTGTATACTCTACAATATAGTAGAAAGTTTTAACAGGTATAATAAATTTTATTATATTAAAATCTTAACAGGTATAATATATTTTATTATATTAAAGTCTTAATAGGTATAATATATTTGCATATTGCATATTTTAAACTGAAGTTGTATATTCATGTCAATTTATAAGAAATAATACAGAGAAAGAGTTCTCTTGTACACTTGGTCCAGATTCTCCAAATTGTAACACTTTGAAAGCTATAATATAATATCTATAATATCATATCCAAGATATTGATATTGATAATCTATCAATCTTACTCATATTTGCCTACTTTTACTTGTACTGTTGTACATAATGTATATAATTGACTTTTATTCACTCGACAAAATTTCCTAAAAATACATCCAAATGATTGCATTAATTAATATTTTGTTCCTTTGATGACTGAGTAGTATTTCATGGTTTCTGGTATAAATTCACCACAAATTAAACATTCACCTGGGTTTATTGACCTTTTCAACTGTAACAAATTAAGCTGTTATAGACATTCATGAACAAGTTTTTGTGGGAACACAAGTTTCATTACTCCAAATTAAACACCCACAACTGCAATTGCTGGGGTCTATGGTCTATGCATATCTGGTTTTTATTTTACTTTAAACATTTTTTAAATTATTTTCTTAAAATTTTATGGGTACACTAAGTGCCCACAGAAGCTAGTAAGGATACTGGGGCATTGGAGAGGAGGTAGAGAAGGTTAATCAGCACAAAAAAAAATGTGGAAAGAATGAATAACATGTCTGTCTTTTTAAAAAACTGTCAACTATTTTTCAGAGTGGCTCTATTATTTTACTTTTCCACTAGCAACGTATGAGTGATCCTATATTTTTACATCCTGAATAGGTTTTGCTATTGTCACAATTTTTAAAAGACATTTTGATAGGTGTATAGAAATGTCTCACTATGGTTTTATTTGACATGTCCATGATGATTAATAATATTGAATATGTTTCATGGATTATTTGACATCTGAATATTTTTCTTGTTAAAACGTCCATTGATGTCTTTTGTCCATTACCTAATTGGATCATTTGCGTTTTTTTTAAAAAGTTGCTGTTGAGTTTTGTGTCATCTCTATTTATTTTTGTCAGTTTTGATAGATGTTTATCAATTGATTGATTTTTTTCAATAAACCAGCTTTTTGCTTCATTTTTTTCTGTTTTCAATTTCATGAATTTTTGTTACTGTCATGATTATTTTTCTTCTTCTGTCTGCTTTCAGTTTACTCTGTTCTTTTTCTAGTTTCTTGAGATACAAGTGTTAAGTTATTGATTTGAGATCTTTTCTCATTTTTAATGAAGCATTTAGTACTATAAATTTCTTTCCCACCACAGCCTTAGCTGTATTTCCTATATTTTGATATGTTGTATTTTTCTTTCATTTGTTTAAATATATTTTTAGATTTTTATTTAAGACTTTATGTTTAATCCATAGATCATTTGGAACTGTGTTGTATAATTGAAATGCATTTAAACATTTTCCTGCTGTCTTTCTGTTACTGACTTTTATTTTAATTCCACTATGGTCAGAGAACATACTCTACATGACATAAATTCTTTTAAATGTATCAGGGTTTGTTTTATGGTGCAAGAAATCATCTAGTATTTTAGTTAATATTTCATGAGCTCCTGAAAAACTGTATATTCTGCTGTTTTGTGTGGACTGATTCTATATTTAGATATATATATATATAATTGACATATATATTTATCTATATGTGTGTGTGTGTGTGTGTGTGTGTGTGAATAAAATCTTGTTGGTTGATTGTGCTGTACAGATCTTCTACATGCTTGCTGATTGTTAAATTTTTGTCCAATAATTCTATCAATTGCTGAGATAAGGCTGTTAAAACCCACAACTATCATTTATTTTTTTTTTAGTTCTATAATTTTTCTCTTCATGTTGTTTAAGACTTTGTTATTTGGTGCATATATATTTAGAATTGTTATGTTTACTGGTGAATTGATCCATTTATAATTAGTGTTGCAGTCTCCTCACTCCTTAATTTAGTGAGGTCCAAGATCTTGTCCCACAACCAAGAGAATAAGGCACACAAATACCGGAGAGTGAGTAAGGCAAATTAGCATTTATTAAGCAACAGAAAAGCTCTCAGCAGCAAGAGGGGACCCAAACAAGGGTTGCCAGAAATGGGGCTGAGTTCTGAGTCTTTTATGTGACAGAAACAAGGAAGTCCTTTGTGGGTCCTGCCTTAATGGAAGGGGTAAAATTCCCTGCTGGGAGTGTTCTGTCTGTGCATACCTGGGGTTGGCAGTAGTGACTCCATCTTGGTTATTAGGCATAAGTGCCTAAGCAAAATTCATGGGAGCACCAAAACTGCAATGCTAATGATATTACAATTAGCTCTGGGTCAAGTTAAGGACATTTAGTTGATTTATTGAAACATAATTGGGACAGTGCCTTCTGAGAGACATCTTGGTATAAGAGGAAGTTGTTAACCACATTTCCACATTCTAGCTACACCACAAAGGTAGTGCAGGTGCACTCCCATGGGCGCTGTCTTTCTCCCAAGACCCTTCCTCTCTATCTGCCTAGCCAGGCTCTAACTGCCTCCTCTGTTGTTAGTAATGTTCTTTGTAAGATTTTTTGAATCTAACTTCTAGATTATCAGATATTAATATAGCCACCTTTGCCCTTTTATTGATAAATATTTCCATGGTATATATTTTTATATTATTTTACTTTCAACCTACTGATACTATTGAATTAAAGTGTATTTCTTACTATAGCAATAGTTAGGTTGCATTTTTTTATTTATTCAGCTAATTTCTCTTTCAATTGGTGTATTTATGTCACTTTAATGTAATTATTAATGTACTAAAACCTAAGCATTTCATTTTATTATTTACTACATATTCATTTGTTTTGTTCTCATTTTTCAGTTTTCCTTTTTTTTTGGACTTACTGTGTGCTACTCAAGCTTTCATGTTGCTTTACTTACAATGTTTGAATACATCTACAATATACACTCTTTGCTTTGGAAATTTGTATATACTTTTTATGCTACTCTTCATATTTTAATACCTGATTTAATATCCGATTTATAAAACAACATATAAATACCAATGGTTTTACCCTTTTGATTAAAGCAAGGAAGCTCAGCTTATATTTATTTTCCTTTATCTTCTATACTTTTAAGTATCACTTCCTTTAGTATCAAATGGAGTTATAATTTTTGTTTCTATCATCAACTATGATTTATAAAACTCACTAGGAAAACACATCTATTGGATGTATTCATATTTCTGCTAATTCTATTAATATATCTTCTTTCTTGATGTTCAAAATTCCTTTTTTTCTTTATTTTGTTTGAATAACAGTTTTTAGTAAACATTTAATGGTAAGCTTGCTAACAACAAATTTTTAAACAGTTCAAAAAATATAATTTCCCTTTATTCCAGAAGCATAGTTACAACATCCGTAGCATTCAGAGTTGGCAGCTCTTTTCTTTCGCTACCTGAAAAATATTGTGTAACTTGTTTCTGACCTCCATTGTTTCAGATGAAAAAACGTATTTTCGTTTACATTGGTTTTCCTCTATAGGTAATGTTTCACCTGTAGGTGACTGTTTCTATCTGGCTGCTTTTAAGACTTTGTCTTTAGTTTTGTCAACAACCTACATTGGGGAAAGGACACAATCTCCAATACATGCTTCTGGAAAAATTGGATATCCATATGCAGAAGAATGAAACTAGACTCCTATCACTCACCTTATACAAAAATAAACTCAAAATGGATTAAAAATTTAAATGTAAGACATGAAAAATTAGACTACCATACACTGTTGGTGGTAAGTTAAATTATTTCACTTATTATGAAAAACTGTATGGTGGTTTCTCAAAACAAAAATAGAGACACCATATGATCTAGTGATCCCACTACTAGGTGTTTATCCAAAGAAAAGGAAATCATTACACTTAAGAGGCATCTGCACCTCCATATTTATTGCAGCTGTCTTCACAATAACCAAGATATAGAATTAAGCTAAATATCCATCAATGGATGGATAGATAAAAAATGTGGTATATACATATACCAAATTTGTATATACATTCATATATATATATATATATATATGAATACTATTCTGCCATAAAAAGAATGAAATTCTGTCATTTGCAGAATCATGGATAAGACTAGCAAACATTATGTTAAGCGGAATAAGTCAGACACAGAAAAATTAATACTGTCTGTCCTTACCCATATGCAGGAGCTAAACAAATTTGAGCTCATTAAAGTAAATGGTAGAATTGTGGTTATTAGATGTTGGGAAGGATGTGGGAGGGGAGGTTGGTTAATGGATACAAAATTATAGCTATATAGGAGGAATAAGTTCTGTTGTAGTGCTCTATAGCATGGTCGCATGGAAATAACTATAATTTATCGTATATTTTCAAAAAGCTAGAAGAGAGGATTTTGAATGTTGTCAACACAAAAGTATGATAAATGTTTGAGGTGTTTGAAATGCTAATTACCCTGATTTGATCATTACGCATTGTACACCTGTATCAAAATATCACTGTTTCCATAAATATGTACAATTATTGCATGCCAACTAACAATAAAAGGACAAGATAAAGATTCAAAAAATAGGAAGAAATATCATTTTTCTGATACAATTTCTTCTCGGTGTGCCCATGTTGTTTCATGATTGCAAAGCATTCTTTTAAGTGCTTGTAAAGTATTTTTTTCATGCTTCTTAAAATTACTTCCAGAAGTAATGTCAAACTCATTCATCTATAGTTTATGAGATCTATCTTCCTTTAAAAAACTAGTACACTGCCCATTTCTTGTCTTCTAAAACTTTTACTATTCTCCATAATCCTCAAAGAGATCTAGAGCAACTTAAAAATCTCTTTCCTAAACTTTCTCATTGTTTTGGAGTGAGTTCTACTCCAATACTAGGGCCCAGAGCTCATAGTGCCTCTTCGTTCATCTTGAGATTTAATTAAAAGCAATGTTGAGTCTTCTCTTTTGGATCTAAAGATCTATTTGATGAGAAAGACTGAAGAAAAATAAGGATAAGGCTATTTCCTCCATGTTTTCATGGCACAAAATCTTTGTTTGCTAACTGTGATAAGCAGAATAATGCCCTCCCGACCCCCCACAAGACTGTCCCTGTCCTATTCTCCATGTCAGGAAGGATATGCTATGTTATATAAGAATATATGATGTTACAATGCAAGAAAGTATTAAGGTTGCACATGACATTAAGCTTACTAAACAGCAGAACTTAAAATAAGAGATCATACTTGGTTATCTAGGGGGGCCCAATGTAATCACAAGGATCCTTTAAATATGGAAGAGTGTGGTAGAAAATATTTAAAGATACTACATTGCTAATTGTACTGGAGGAAAGAACCAAGAGACAAGGAATGGGGAAAGCGGACAAGAGACAAGAGATGAAGACAGCCCCTAGAAGCTGGAAAAGGCAAGAACATGTATTCTCCTTTAGAGTCCCCAGAAGGAAAGCAGTGCTGCTGACACCTTGATTTTAGCCTAATGAAAACGATTTAAGACTTCTGACCTTTATAATTTAAAAATGATAGATTTATGTTTCTAAACTACCAAATAAAAATATTGTGTCTTTAGTTTTTAAAAGTTTAATCAAAATGTTTCTTGAAATGTGTTTATTCTGTGTAGGGTATCTTAGGCTTCTTGAATCTATATATTTGTGTCTTCTGCAAATTTGAGGGTTTTTTGAAGCACTATTTCTTCAAGTATTCTTTCAGCCTCATTTTACTTCTTTTCTGGTACACGTAATAAAAATGTTGGATCTTTTGTTGTTGCCTCACACATACCTACATCTCCGTTCATTTTATGTATCAGTCTATTTTATTTATGTTGTTCAAATTGGTTAAATTCTACTATTCTGCCCTCACATTCACTGATTCTACCTTCTCACATCTCAATGGTACTATTGACTCCATCCAACACATTTTTCATTTCTGTTACCGTGTTTGTTTGCTTTTATAACTTACATTTGGTTCTTTTTTTTGTTTGTTTTTTTACAAATCAAGTTTGGTTAATATTTTGCTATTTTGTTATATATTTTAAGATAATTTCTATTTGATGTTGAAACATTTTTGCTAGATATCTTAAAATCATATTCAGATGATTCCAACATCTGATGCGTTTTGGTGTCGGTGTCAGTTAACTGTCTTTTTTCACTCAAATTGTTATTTTTCTCGGTTCTTTGTATGATCGGTGATTTGTAATTATATTCTGGACACTTTGTCTATCATGGCAGACAATTCTGAGCTCTATTTAAACTGTTCCTTTTGGCAGGCAGTCACACTGTTTAGCTTTAGCATGTACATCCTGGGTGTGGGGCAGGTACACTGTGTACTATTTACTAGCTTGTCTGAGTTCAGTTAAACGGAACACACATATGCAACAAATTACGTAAAGCAGATGTATCATTTACGGACAAACAGCAAGAGACAACAGATACCTATGTGAGCCGGTCCATTATGAGCCAGTAGCCCAAAGCTCAACAAAGTTGCCTGAAGTGGATGGAGTGCATGTGAAGTGCCTGAAGTGGATGGAGTGATTGTGCATGCCCCACTTGTACCACAATTGAGGGACCCCACAAGACAGCTTGCCCTAGGTTACAAACCTCAGGACCAATGGGAAACTATGGCCTAAGGTTTTGAAGAACATCTCTCTGTCAAGGGAGAGAGTAACAAGGCCTAGGCTGTTCCAGGCAGTTCTTCCCTGTCTCAGGATATTGCATTCTCAGCATATACTACAGTTGCTCTTGACAACTACAAGCAAGAAAGAGGGGATAATTGGGTCAGTCCAAGGACACCTGGAAAGTTGACCTGCAGTCTCCTGCTCCAACCAAGATATTTCCCTTAGAAAAGCTAGTGTATTTCACATGCCCATTGACCTCTCCAGATCTGGAGGTGGAGGTTTGTCTTGTCAGATCAATGTAACACCTTGGCTGACTCTGTCTCAGTGAAACATCATTGAGTCATAGCCAGAATACATTTTACTAGTCCCAGGAGGACTACTACCACTAGCAGCACAGCCAGACCTCTCTGCAGTAGTAATCTAGCCCTGGGTCTCAAAGATCTAGATAAGAGGTTGCCATAGAGGTTAAAGAAGGATTCTTCAGGTGGCCCCACTGTCTACAACCAATGGGTCAGCTTCTGGATCTCCTCTACCTATGTTTCTACAATACCTAAGATGTTTATCCCAATACAGTAAGAGGTGTTGGCAATTGTATACGCTTCTCCCAGTTGAGCTAAAAGAAAGTCTGGAGGGCCGAGTGCAGTGGCTCATGCCTGTAATCTCAGCACTTTGGGAGGCCAAGATAGGTGGACCACCTGAGGTCAGGAGTTCGAGACCAGCCAGACAAACATGCAGAAACCCTGTCTCTACAAAAAAAAAAAAAAAAAATACAAAATTAGCCAGGAGTGGTAATGCACGCCTATAATCCCAGCTACTCTGGAGTCTGAGGCAAGAGAATCACTTAGACCCGGGAGGCAGAGGTTGCAGTGAGCTGAGATCATACCACTGCACTCCAGCATGGGCAACAAGAGCGAAACTCCATCTCAAACAAAAAAAGTCTGGAACAATTCTGTTGTTTAAAATAACTTTCTGGGTGGATCTGGGAGATGTTTCCTTGGCTTCTAAGACAGTGGCAATGGAGGAGGCAATATTTGCCATGGTTTGGGACAGGTTTCTTTTCATTTTTTTATGAGCAATAACTCCTATGAATGGTACCAAAGATCTCATAAAAGACATAAACCCAAAGTCAGTTACACATCCAGTCAGGTCTTTGGTAAGTCTGGTATACAGCATTAGGCTCCTGAGTCAATGGAGCACTTCATTTTGGGGGTGAATTCTAGGAGCATCCCTAGCACACTCAATGGGGCAGGATCTGTAAGTTTTCCAGGCATGACTTTGCCCACCCCGCATTTGAGTCACCCCAGATTGCCCACAGATAAAGATGTAGCCCTCTGGCACACACAGACCCCCTGTGCTAGTATTATTTATGAGGATGAAGGTATTGGCACTCACTAGCTAAGTCTCATTGATGGCAGTAGTTGCCTGAGTTTTCCTCATACAGTTTACCCCATACAATCCTAAAGCCCCTACGCAGAGGGCTAGCACTCTTCGGATACTTGTTCTCTTCATCATCATGAACACACATCCTTGTAATTAAAGGAGACTGGTGCATCAAAGCACCTGCCCACCAAAGATTCGTTAGTTGTGGTCATGACATTTTTCCACAAAGTTATTTAAGTTAAAAGATAGCACCTTTGAATTCTTCCTATGTGGCATGTGCTAGGTCCTCACTCAGTAAGCTAGGACTTAGGGTCCATTACTGTACTCTGTGGCATTAGGAGTGCTGGAATAGTTAACCACTGGCAAGACGAAAGGATCATTCTAGTCAATGAGAGAACGAGGTCGTGGATGGAGCATCCAGCACTTTGTCAGGTTACCCATGGTGGTCACACTTTGGAAGAGCCCACTAAGGCATTATGCTCACAGGCCTATAATGCCCCATCCTTGTGGAAAAGCAGACTGACAGTTTAATGCCCACCTCTCACCCTTTCCAGGGTCTCAGATGTTCTCTACCTATTGGATAAGAATTAGGCTGAGTTGGTATAGCAACCCGGTCTGTCTGTTTTAGTCCCAAGTTACTTCTGCAGACACCCATTGCCCTTGTTGCTTGACTCCGACCTTTCTGCCTCAATCATCCACTCCAGTACAAATTTGGCATATCTCATAAATCATCCACCCAAATGGAAGGATCAGAGGTATCCAGCATCATTAGAAGGATTCTAGCAGTCTGTCATTCCTTAGTCCTGTCCTCCACCCCTGTGGAATCCCCTTATAGGGGAGGTACCCAAGGGAAGTATAAACTCCAGATTAGAGACAGGGTGGCCTCTCTGGGGTACTATGGCACCCTGAACTGCAATTCATCCCCAGGACATGTACTCTATAGGGAAAAAGGAAAAAGAATGGTTGAGAACACAGACTGAGACTTTACAGGCACAGACAGCCTAGTCAGGTAGGTTTCTCATCCACCTCCACCCCAACCAAGCTCAGTGTCCCTCAATATGAACTGCAGTGCTGTTTCCTTTGCATTGGTGCATAGTGTTTAGTGTCCCTATTGCCCTAGTCAGATGGGCTACCCCCTCACCAGCAGGACATCTTGATGTTCTTTCTTCAGTTGCTTTGTGAGTTCCATTATTCAATAACTCTGTTGGCCTGAGGATGACAATGTACTTAAAAAGCGCATCTTTTTTCACTAATGTGTACCCATTATCTAGTTGCTTGAATAGCAAAAAATATCCCTTGGTCCAAGTAAAATCCCATGGGCTATGTAAAAGGATTGCATAAATTCCTCTCAAGTGTGGCTATAGTTGCCTCAGCACCCATATGATTGACATATATTTGTCTTTTTCAGACAACAAGCTGTTTTTCTTAGTCCTTGTCCTCACATGGAGATCCTCTAACAGTCCAATCCTTCCATTGCCATTGTCCTGATCAGATGACTAGGCTTTTGGCAATGGCCCATAAGTCACTGAAAATATGGCAGGATATGCGATAGAGGTAGCCTGCATGGCCATCACCACTGCATTTAGTTTGGCCCATTGGGTAGAATGCCCATGTCCAGTCTCAGTCAAAAGATAGCCATCCACTGGCTGAATGGTGGCCCAGTGCACGTTGTCTGGCAGAGCTATCAGTAAACCATGCCTGTCAGGCCTCTGAGCCCAAGCTAAGCCATCATATCCCCTGTGACCTGCAGGTATACATCCAGATGGCCTGAAGCAAGTGAAGAATCACAAAAGAAGTGAAAATGGCTGGTTCCTGCCTTAACTGATGACATTACTTTGTGAAATTCCTTCTCCTGGCTCAGAAGCTCCCCCACTGAGCACCTTGTGACCCCCACCCCTGCCCGCCAGAGAACAACCCTCTTTGACTGTAATTTTCCACTACCTACCCAAATCCTATAAAATGGCCCCACCCCTATCTCCCTTCACTGACTCTCTTTTTGGACTCAGCCTGCCTGCACCCAAGTGAAATAAACAGCCTTATTGCTCAGGCGCTGTCTGTTTGGTGGTCTCTTCACATGGACGTGTGTGACATTTGGTGCCTGTTATCACTCCCCTGCTACAGCATGGGCTTGTAAAACCTATAAACTCTCCTTACAATTCTCCCATTTTACCTATTCAAAAACCAGACAAGTCTTACAGGTTAGTTCAGCATCTGCACTGGCCGTCATGTCTCCATGTAGCAGCTGCCATCACCCTAATACTTTTAGAAGCCCTAAAAATCACAAACTATGCTCAACTCACTCTCTACAGTTCTCATAACTTCCAAAATCTATTTTCTTCCTAACACCTGATGCGTATACTTTCTGCTCCCCAGCTCCTTCAGCTATACTCACTCTTTGTTGCGTCTCCCACAATTACCATTTTTCCTGGCCCGGACTTCAATCTGGCCTCCCACATTAGTCCGGATACCACACCTGACCCCCACGACTGTATCTCTCTGATCCACCTGACATTCACTCCATTTCCCCATATTTCCTTCTTTCCTGTTCCTCACCCTAAGCACACTTGGTTTATTGATGGCAGTTCCACCAGGCCTAATTGCCACTCACCAGCAAAGGCAGGCTATGCTGTAGTATCTTCCACATCTATCATTGAGGCTACCGCTCTGCCCCACTCCCCTACCTCTCAGCAAGCCAAACTCATTGCCTTAACTCGAGCGTCACTCTTGCAAAGGGACTACACGTCAATATTTAAACTGACTCTAAATATGCCTTCCATATCCTACGCCACCATACCATTATTTGGGCAGAAAGAGGTTTCCTCACTGCGCAAGGGTCCTCCATCATTAATGCCTCTTTAATAAAAGCTCTTCTCAAGGCCACTTTACTTCCAAAGGAAGCTGGAGTCATTCACTGCAAAGGCCATCAAAAGGCATCAGATCCCATTGCTCAGGGCATTGCTTATGCTGATAACATAGCTAAAGAAGCAGCTAGCATTCCAACTTCTGTCCCTCATGGCCAGTTTTTCTCCTTCTCATCGGTCACTCCCACCTACTCACTGACTGAAACTTCTATCAGTCTCTTCCCACACAAGGCAAATGGTTCTTTGACCAAGGAAAATATCTCCTTCCAGCCTCACAGGCCCATTCTATTCTGTCGTCATTGCATAACCTCTTCCATGTAGGTTACAAGCTGCTAGCCCACCTCTTAGAACATCTCATTTCCTTTCCATTGTGGAAATCTATCCTCAAAAAATCACTTCTCAGTGTTCCATCTGCTATTCTACTACTCCTCAGGGATTATTCAGGCCCCCTCCCTTCCCTATACATCAAGCTCAGGGATTTGCCCCCACCCAGGACTGGCAAATTGACTTTACTCACATGCTCTGAGTCAGGAAACTAAAATACCTCTTGGTCTGGGTAGACACTTTCACTGGATGGGTAGAGGCCTTTCCCACAGGGTCTGAGAAGGCCACCATGATGATTTCTTCCCTTCTGTCAGACATAATTCTTTGGTTTGGCCTTCCCTCCTCTATACAGTCTGATAACGGACCAGCCTTTATTAGTCAAATCACCCAAGCAGTTTCTTAGGCTCTTGGTATTCAGTAAAACCTTTATACCCCTTAACATCCTGAATCTTCAGGAATGGTAGAACAGACTAATTGTCTTTTAAAAACACACCTCACCAAGCTCAGCCTCCAACTTAAAACTTAAAAAAGAGGACTCTGTCAAGGATAGAGCCCCAAAACTCACCAACCAAACAAGTAATTATGCTGAACTCCCTTGAGCACTCTCTAATTGGATGTCCTGGGTCCTCCCAATTCTTAGTCATTTAATACCTGTTTTTCTCCTTCACTTATTCACACCTTGTGTCTTCCGTTTAGTTTCTCAATTCATACAAAACCGCATCCAGGCCATCACCAATCATTCTATATGACAAACGCTCCTCTTAACAAGCCCACAATTTCACCCCTTACCACAAAATCTTCCTTCAGCTTAATCTCTCCCACTCTAGGTTCCCATGCCTCCCCTAACCCCACTCGAAGCAGCCCTGAGAAACATCGCCCATTATCTCTCCATAGCACCCCCAAAAATTTTCACCACCCCAACACTTCAACACTATTTTGTTTTATTTTTCTTATTAATATAAGAAGACAGGAATGTCAGGCCTCTGAGCCCAAGCTAAGCCATCATATCTCCTGTGACCTGCATGTATACATCCAGATGGCCTGAAACAAGTGAAGAAGCAAAAGAAGTGAAAATGGCTGGCTCCTGCCTTAACTGATGACATTACTTTGTGAAATTCCTTCTCCTGGCTCAGAAGCTCCCCCACTGAGCACCTTGTGACCCCCACCCCTGCCTGCCAGAGAATAACCCCCTTTGACTGTAATTTTCCACTACCTACCCAAATCCTATAAAATGCCCACCCCCGCCCATCTTCCTTCACTGACTCTCTTTTCGGACTCAGCCTGCCTGCACCCAGGTGAAATAAACAGTCTTGTTGCTCACAAAAAGCCTGTTTGGTGGTCTCTTCACACTGATGCACGTGACAATGCCATGCTGTCAGTAAGCATGTCTGTGAGTCCTGGGCCCCAGGTCACCACAGGAGAATCCAATGGATCCTTACAGGTTGCTTAAAAGGGATAGTTTGTTGTAGTCCTGAATTAATAAAGTAATATCCTATTCTCCACTTTACCATGTAGTACTGCTTTTGTTAAATAATCCATTGGGGCTTGGGTAGTTTAGGTGGCAGGCAGGATATGCCCCACTGTTATGGCTTGAATTCTGAGTTGTCAAAGAGTATGTCTCCTCAGGCAATGGTGATTTTTGTGCTACAAGAAGTCAGGGGGTCAATGCCAATAATGTGCTCATAAGTGAGAACCATGGTCACTGACATCCAATATGGACCAAAGCCATATCACAGGTAGATAAGCACTACTGGTCAATGCATTCATTCTAAAACCTTCCAATGTCACCAGTTTTTCTCCCTAAGAAGACCTGGAAATATTATGTGGACTCCAGTATCAAAAAAAAAAAAGTCTGAATTTCTTTCTTTTCTCCTCTTACCTTGACAGAAATATAAGGCCTTTGGCCTCCATTTGGGGACCCTGAGACCTTGGTCCCATTTCTGACACTGCCATTCAGCCCAAGACATTGGATTTGCAATGTCCTTTCATCAAAGAAACATACCTGGCCTTTCTCTATATCTGTCCTTTAGATAATGAGTCTCCCTTTCTGTGAAGGCCTTTATCACATGTATTGAATCCTTCTCAGATGCCTCAAGGAAGATCTGAGGAACCCTTTCTTCTTTCCCTCTCAGGTGCCTTAGTGTCTGGTTGAGTACTCACTTCCCTCACTCTCTGCCCCCATGAATGACAGGGTAATTAAATAAATATCCCCAACCAAGGGATCTATGCCCCTCTATTTCCTCATTGCCTTTTGTTTGCCTTGATCCATGCAGCCATCTCATTCACATCTGAGGGAAGTGGCAGACCTACATCCCACTTATCACCCTTCCTTCCTCTGAAAATATTCAATCCCCATGCCCCCAGGCTGCCATCTTTCCCCTGGGCTGGGTACTAGGAAGTATCACCCCTTCTGCTTCCCAAATAAGCTATGATTACATTAGATGGGGCACTGCTTGCTGGACGCATTTTGTGGATTAGGTTTACTGTGTGCTGCTTACCAACTTGTCTGAGTGCAGGAGACAGAATACACTCATATGCAACAAGTTACACAAAGCAGATTTGTGACTTACAGGTAGACAGCAAGGGACAAAAGAATGCTAGGATCTATGATGAGCTGATTCCTGAAGACTCAGGAAAGCTGTCTAGGGCACATCGAGTCTCAGCTGTGCATTCCCCACTTGCACCACAGCTGAGGGGCTCTTTTTTTTTTTTTGAGATGGAGCTTGGTTCTTGTTGCCCAGGCTGGAATGCAATGGCACGGTCTCGGCTCACTGCAACCTCTGCCTCCTGGGTTCAAGCGATTCTCGTGCCTCAGCCTCCCAAGTAGCTGGGATTACAGGCGCCTGCCACCACGCTAATTTTTTTGTATTTTTAGTAGAGACGGGGTTTCACTATGTTGGCCAGGCTGGTCTCGAACTGCTGACCTCAGGTGATCCACCCACCTTGGCCTCCTAAAGTGCTGGGATTACAAGGCGTGAGCCACCACGCCTAGCCAGGACTCTAAAAGACAGCCTGTTCAGGGTTATATACCTCAGAGGCAATGTGAAACATTGACTTAAAGCTTTGAGGGACATCCTGCTTCCAGAGGAAAGAGCAACAGGCCCAGGCTAGTCCAATCAGCCCCTCCTTATCTCACCATAATGTATTCCCAGCATAATCTACTGTAATTATTAAGACCTACAAGGAAGAAAGGGAAGAGAACTGGGTCAATCCAAGGCCACATGGAGAACTGTCCTGCACTGGCCAATTGTTTTGGCTGTAGTTTGAATACCAACTTAATGTTTAGAGCTTTTGCATTGTGATTTCAGACTCTTTGATTAATGTGGTGCTGCTGGGAATTCCACTGCTCCCTGTTGGTGCTGCCTATGGCAGTGGAAGCAGTTTCTCCAGGTTAGGTTACCAGGTGTCTGAGGTATTTGGTGAGGGGTGTGGTAGAATCCCCCAACCAATGTCCCCTGGCTACTCTGGGGTCATTGGGAAGAGAGTCTTAGGCCTGCAGGGACAAAGCAGCTTCTTAGACCAGGCCACTTTCTCTACTAGGTCCCTCTTCCTGGTTCTATTTTCCCACCTTTGTGCTTCCTGATAGAAAAAGAAGCCTCAAGCTGTACTGGGAAGGAGAGTACCTCTCTTAGCGTTTCTCCTAGCTGCTTCTCCTGGATGGTGGTGGGTGTCTCAAGCTAGCGGCTCCTGATTGATCCAAGAGAGGAAGGAGCTTACTTGAGGTATCTTCTGTTGCTAGATTGGGGGATTAGGAAAAATAAGTCTGAAGGCCTTCTTCTGTCCAGTGAGGATACACAAGATGCCTTGCTGTTGTGCTGTTTCACCATTCCTTGCATATCAAACTAACTCTTCTTCTGTTTACCTCCATCTCTTAGAGCTTTTTCATGTTAGTCACATGCGTCATTTTCAAAATATATAGTTGTGCATAACAAAAAGAGGCGGGAAAAACATGGATCTGTGCCATATTGTCTGAATCCGAAGTTCCTTGCATACTTTATACTAAATAAGCTTTATCTGTGAGCTATATTACTAGTATTTTCTTTGTCTATAATTGTTTCAGGTGTCACATTTAAGACTTTGCTTGATTATGATATTTAAATATTACAGAATATATTTGCAGAATAACAATATTCTGCAAATAATGCCCGGATATTCAAATTGAAATTCTCTTTTCATAATAGATCAAGGAAATTAGAACCTAATGATTTAATGGTGTACACAATTGCAGCATTAGTTTTGTATTCAAAGCAACATAAAATAAATGACAAATTGAAAGAAAAATAGGACTTTATTTACTTTATTCAAATATTAAAATAAATAATATGTCTATTGAAATGTCATAATCAGGATATTATTTATTCCAATTAAATGGTTAAATATGTAATCAGTTAAATGTCATAGATTTTATTTTATTTTTATTTTTGTAGAGAGAAGATGTCACTCTGTCACCAGGCTGGAGTACAGTAGCTGGATCATAACTCACTATAATCTCAAAAAAGCCTCCCAAGTATCTGGGATTACAGGTGTGAGCCACCATGATAGGCTAATTAAGTTTTTAAATTTTCTATAGAGATGAGGATCTCCCTGTTACCCAGGCTGGTCCTGAACTCCTGGGCTCAAGGGATCCTCCCACCTCAGCCTCCCAAAGTGATAGGATTACAGGTATAAGCCATCATGCCTGGCCCTAGAATTTTTAAATTAATGGTGGTTGATACACATATTTACATTGTATTTTAGCCAGATTTACTGAGGTATAATTTACTTATGCAAAATTTACTAATTTATTTATTTATTTTTTGAGACGGAATCTCGCTCTGTTGCTCAGGCTGGAGTGCAGCAGCGCAATCTCGGCTCACTGCAAGCTGCGCCTCCTGGGTTCACGCCATTCTCCTGCCTCAGCCTCCTGAGTAGCTGGGACTACAGGCGCCTGCCACCACGCCCCGCTAATTTTTTTTGTATTTTGAGTAGAGACGGGTTTCACCATGTTAACCAGGATGGTCTCAACCTCCTGACCTCGTGATCCGCCCGCCTCGGCCTCCCAAAGTGCTGGAATTACAGGCGTGAGCCACTGTGCCAGGCCGAATATTTCCATTATAGCATATACTCGAATGTGTCTTAAAGTGTTTATAAAGGTAATACTCATTGTATTTACTTATATGACTTTTTAATTAGATTATAAAATCCAGTTACCTTTTAGTATGCTCAAAATTGTGTCAAATAATATTAATTCTTGAATTAATTATGCATTATAAATTCTTGTCTCTCAATAAAATTTCATGTACACTTTCACTCTGTAAAGCTGGAATGCATGTGGAGCTGCTTCAATTTTTCAATTGTATTTTCACTTTTCTCTTTTTATGCCTACCTAAATTGGTTCCTATAATTGAATTTATCATTTAAGAGTGAACGTTTGTTTAAGAAAATTTAATGTTTTTCATCAGCATACTCAATATTTCAATTTTCCATTATAGATTATAAGAATAAATCTTTAGGTAATATAGGCAAACAAAATTTAATATATAGAATTAGTTTCTTACACAATTGGAGAGTTGGTGGAGCAGGTCTTGGGCTGATCTTCTAAATGATTGCTAGAACTCCACCACAAAAACGACAGAGCTGGGACTGTTGCTCCTTTTGCCATGACTGAGAAGCTGGAGAATCAGGATCTCCTGTGCAACCACTGGCACTAAAATTATGCTAACTTTGCTATTTGTTTTTTTCCCAGTTTCAAAGTTTATCTTATTAACTTAAAATTTAAACAAAATTGTTAGTCTAAACATCATTAAATGTACTCATGGGAAACATATTTACATAGAGAATAAGAAAATAATTTTTTGTAACTTGAGGCACATTGTCCATTTTACAAATGTACTTTTAGAAAAACTGCTTTGAGAAACAATAATTTTTTCTGTCATACTTCATAAAAGCTAGACACACATTTCTAATGCAAATTTCTTTTTTTTTTTCTACTTTGATGTGGAATCTGGGAAGCTCGAATGTTTGCATTTTAATTTAACAATACAAAGAAAAATTTCATCTGTTTCTCTCTACATTGTTGGCCTTAGACTTACTCTAGCAGCCTCCATTCATATCTCTTACAGGGGTACCTTATAGTTTCATATCAGGTCATTCCTGTTCCTCTTTCCTTTTGTGATGCACCTCTTCTTGCTAAAGATTTTGGTCACTATCTTTTGTTTTGTGTTTACTTATTTTAGCTTGTATATATGTTCTGTTCTACACAATATTTCTGATTTACATGGCAGGAAATGTGAGACAGTTTGCCACCTTCCTGATTGATCTGGGCTTTAACGGTGCCCCTATATTGTGAATAAACAGTTGCATTCTCTAACACATATTTTATTTGATCCAAACAATACATTAGTCCAACTACCAAACATACCTCTTGGATCCTCTGTAGCTATAACATTTTCAACAGTCATATTTACGGAATCCGTCTCCCTCTGTTATGTTTTTATTATTATCCAAATAGAGGAGATAGATATAAATGAACTCACTCTGGTCAGCCAGGGACCACACAGTGGCTTAAAATATCTTAATCCAGGTATCTGCAGACTAACCCTAACCTAACAGTGAGTTGCTACCTTTGTTTCTTTTTCTCTAAGCATTAAAATACTTCTGTCATAGCTGCTTGCTTCTTGATCATAGGATCTCAGCCATGGTTCATATTTGAATAACACAGAATGTCGGCCACAGAACTAAGGACTGGACATTTGGTCCTTTGTGACTGTTGTTACAGGAAAGTAAATGGTTTTGTTACATTGCTTGTCAGGAAAAAGAATAGGAAGGCGCCTTCTATCTCAGGCTCTTTTCCTTAAAGAAGGTAGGTTTAATGTAAAACCTGAATTGTGAGTAAGCCTGGGGATATCGTTTTTAGCTGTTCCAAATTGAGCAAGTACTTAGTCAAACTACCAGAGTTTTGGAATATGCCTGAGTAAGCCAGTCTGAAATAGCTGATGATCCAGCTTAAGACTATTCAATATCCATGCACCTGCCTTTTCTAAAGCTTAAACTTCAAAAGAGCAACAGTAACAAGTACATGATCCTGTCAAATATAATTCAAATATATGTTGTACAAATTAAAATGCAGTGGTCCTATCCAAAATAGGTATCCATGATATTCACTCCTCTTCGGATTCAGTCTCAACTATGTCTTAATATCCTGAAATAAGATAATAAATTATGAAGTTATTCAAACCAGCCTACCCTAAAAAATAATGGGAAAAATGGAAGATAAAATAAGACAAACAATTATATACATGACAATGCAGAAGAGAAGAAAACACAAGAATGTATTACATACTTAATTTTATAACTGATCATGGAACTGTGGATGGTATTTGTACCATTCTTTTTATATTATTCATTCCACACTTCTCTATAGTATCCTAAATTATCCAAGTTTCCACAGCAAGAGCCCACTCTTCATGAACAATGCCCTTAGTTGTCTTGTCAAATTGGAGTTGTTTTAATCTTCCATTAATGTTTACCACTTGACAGAAAATCCAAAAGGCATTTGAGGAGTCCAACTCCAGGCAGAAACCCTATTTGTAATCTTTCAGGCCTAACCATAGGCCATTACAATGGCTTTACCTGGCAGGCCTCATGAGAGAAAGATACTCTCCCTATACCAGAATTGGCAAACAGCCAGTGCATTAAAATGTCTAATGGGAGCTGCAGTCTAGGACTCATTCCCCACTAGCCAACCATCCTCCTGTGCATGTCTGCCATTCAAGTCTCAGGCACCCTCATCTGAGCTATCCTTATTAGGGACCCTCAATAGAAAACCTTTGCAGAGAACTCCTTATGATGGGGAGAGAGGGATAAGGGAGAGGAGAAAGGGGAAACCTTGAAAACATTATTCTCTATTCTGAATCAGAACTCAGTATTTTCCCATTCTTAGCCCTTCCTCCTCTTTCTGTCCCAAGGACCCAGGTCCATAAGATGAAAGGAGCTTTTTGTTCATGGCTCCTTGGTCAAAAGATTCTTGCTGAGAAAATTCCCACATCTGCATTTGTGCTGATCTACATGACCTTGGCCTGGAGCTGTTTCATGGGAGAAAATGGAACATTGGAGGAGCTAGCGATCTTTCCTGTTTAGTTTCTAGCTTAAACTATCTCAGTTAGTAAAGATTTGACTGTTACTGTCATTTTGGCTTATTGTTTTAATTAGCTATTTCAACTCCATGGCAGCTTAGCTCTTGACAGCATTCTGGAAAGTACATAGGATTCTAGACATTTTTACTGCTTTTGTTACATGAATTACATGTCTTCATAATAAGGAATTAAGGCTGGGAGTGGTCACTTGCAATCCCAACACTTTGGGAGGCCAAGGCGGGTGGATCAACTGAGGTCAGGAGTTTGAGACCAGCCTGGCCAACATGGTGAGTGAAATCCCATCTCTACTAAAAATGCAAAAATTAGCCAGGCATGCTGGCGTGTGCCTGTAGTCCCAGCTACTCGGGAGGCTGAGGCGGGAGAATCACTTGAACCTGGGAGGCGAAGGTTGCAGTGAGCCGAGATAGTGCCATTTCACTCCAGCCTGGACGACAACAGCAAGACTCTGTCTCAATAACAATAATAATAATAATAATAATGATTTAATATGCAAACCATTCTTGTAACATATTTAATATTGCCATTCAGTGGTAAATAAAAATAATATACAGTCATGCCCTGCCTAATAACAACATTTTGGTCAATGATGAACTACCTACAGAACAGTGGTCCCATAAGATTATAATGAGCCAAAGAATTCATATATATATGGAGAGAGGAGAGAGAGAAAGAGTTAACGATTAACAGCCTCAGACAGGTCCTTGAGGAGGTATTCTATAAGGAAGCGTTGTTATCATAGAAGATGAAAGTTCCACGCATGTTATTGCCCTGGAAGACCTTCCAGTGGGACAAGATATAAAGGCAGAAGACAATAATATTGATAATCCTGACCCTGTGTAGGCCTCGGCTACTGTATGTGTTTGTGTCTTATTAATAAAATGTTTTAAAAGTAAATAATATAAATTTTAAAACTTTTTTTTATTTTATTATTATTATACTTTAAGTTTTAGGGTACATGTGCACAATGTGCAGGTTAGTTACATATGTATACGTGTGCCATGCTGGTGCGCTGCACCCATTAACTCGTCATTTAGCATTAGGTGTATCTCCTAAAGCTATCCCCCCGCTCCCTCCACCCCACAACAGTCCTCAGAGTGTGATGTTCCCCTTCCTGTGTCCATGTGTTCTCATTGTTCAATTCCCACCTATAAGTGAGAATATGTGGTGTTTGGTTTTTTGTTCTTGCGATAGTTTACTGAGAATGATGATTTCCAATTTCATCCATGTCCCTACAAAGGACATGAACTCATCATTTTTTATGGCTGCATAGTATTCCATGGTGTATATGTGCCACATTTTCTTAATCCAGTCTATCATTGTTGGACATTTGGGTTGGTTCCAAGTCTTTGCTATGGTGAAGAGTGCCGCAATAAACATACGTGTGCATGTGTCTTTATAGCAGCATGATTTAGAGTCCTTTGGGTACATACCCAGTAATGGGATGGCTGGGTCAAATGGTATTTCTAGTTCTAGATCTCTGAGGAATCACCACACTGACTTCCACAATGGTTGAACTAGTTTACAGTCCCACCAACAGTGTAAAAGTGTTCCTATTTCTCCACATCCTCTCCAGCATCTGTTGTTTCCTGACTTTTTAATGATTGCCATTCTAACTGGTATGAGATGGTATCTCATTGTGGTTTTGATTTGCATTTCTCTGATAGCCAGTGATGGTGAGCATTTTTTCATGTGTGTTTTGGCTGCATAAATGGCTTCTTTTGAGAAGTGTCTGTTCATGTCCTTCGCCCACTTTTTGATGGGGTTGTTTGTTTTTGTCTTGTAAATTTGTTTGAGTTCATTGTAGATTCTGGATATTAGCCCTTTGTCAGATGAGTAGGTTGGGAAAATTTTCTCTCATTTTGTAGGTTGCCCATTCATTCTGATGGTAGTTTCTTTTGCCGTGCAGATGCTCTTTAGTTTAATTAGATCCCATTTGTCAATTTTGGCTTTTGTTGCCATTGCTTTTGGTGTTTTAGACATGAAGTCCTTGCCCATGCCTATGTCCTGAATGGTAATGCCTAGGTTTTCTTCTAGAGTTTTTATGGTTTTAGGTCTAACGTTTAAGTCTTTAATCCATCTTGAATTAATTTTTGTATAAGGTGTAAGGAAGGGATCCAGTTTCAGCTTTCTACATATGGCTAGCCAGTTTTCCCAGCACCATTTATTAAATAGGAAATCCTTTCCGCATTACTTGTTTTTCTCAGGTTTATCAAAGATCAGATAGTTGTAAATATGTGGCATTATTTCTGAGGGCTCTGTTCTGTTCCATTGTAGAAAAAAGCTTATATAATAAGGGTATAAAGAAAGAAAATATTTTTTGTACAGATGTTCAATGTGTTTGTGTTTTAAACTAAGCGTTATTGCAAGAGTCAAAAAAATTATAAAGTCAAAAAGATACAGTAAACTAAGGTTATTTTATTATTAGAGAAAAAATAGTTTTTAGAAATGTAATGTAGCCTAAGTGTACAGTGTTTATTAAGTCTACAGTAGTGTTCAGTAATGTCTAAGGACTTTGCTTTCTCTCACCACTCACTCACTGACTCATCCCTAGCAACTTCTAGGCCTGCAAGTGCCATTTATAGTAACCATCCTATACAGGTGTACAACTTTTTTTTATACCATATCTTTTTACTGTATGTTTTCTATGTTTAGATATAAAGATGTTTATCATTGTGTTTCAGTTGGCTACATTATTTAATATAGTAACCTGGCGTAAGGGCTTGTAGCCTAAAAGCAATAACTTCTACCTTATTGCCAAAGTGTGTAGTAGGCTACACTACATCTAGGTTTGTAAAAGGACACTATGATGTTCACCTAGGGAACATATTTCTCAGAATGAATTCTCATCATTAATCAACTCAAGACTGTACTTATAAGTGAATCCACTGTCATTACTATAGTTCAGGTCACCTTAAGTTTCTTCTTGGACTTGCCAGTGAACTGTGGAATTAAGAAGCTCTCTGCCTACAGTCTTGTTTATCTATTGTAATCTGTTTCTTGTAGTCCCTATTTTAGATCTCATTAATGTCTTGTCACTTCCATTAGAATAAATTATAAACACTTTGGATGGCCTGAAGACATTTGTAATTTATCCTAAACTCATCTCTACTCTCATCGCTTGACATCTCCCTCTTCCACCCACACATATATATTTAAGCCCACATAATTACTGCAATTACCCCAAATTCTGTACTTCTCACCAGTGTCTTGCAAAACCCACTCCATGTAACTAATAAGACTTTTCATTTAACTCTCCAGCTGTACTTGATATTCTAGTTTCAAACTCTATTTTCTGTGTGAAGGCTGTACTGATATCACAATTTTGTTTCTTCAGTGTCAGCACTGGCAGCCTGTGGCCTATGGTTTTGGTACAGCCTGCAAGGTAATAATGGTTTTTAGAGATTTAAATGATTGAAACAATTTTTTAAAATAACATTTTGTAGCATATAACAATTGCATAAAGTAAAAACTGTAGTGTTTTCACAAATAAAAAGGTTTTTTTTTGGACACAAGATCATTCACTTACATGTGGTCTATAGATGCTTTCAGGCTATTATGTCAGAGTTGAGTGGTTGCAACAGAAACTGTATGATTGTCAAAGCCTAACATACTTAAAATCTGACCCTTTGTAGAAAAAGCTAACATTTGATCTAAAGTTTTCTGTAAAGATACATCTACATTATGTTTATTGTAATTTATATTTATTTATCTGCCTACTGGTTGCAGTTTTGAAAAACCATAATCTTCCAGAAGACAGAAACTATGATATTTTTAATTAGACCTCAAGCAAAATTATTTTAAAATGTGGTCTCAATTTTTAAGAAAGTGGGGAAGAATGCTTTTTTTTCTTTTGTTAAACTTCTTTGCTTCCAGTCCAAGAAGTGACTGTCATTTATTTTTATCTTGTTGCTTCCTTTCTCATATTAGCTTGATAAAAAGTAATGAAATAATGTTCAGGTTTCTTAGTAGAGTCATGTTGTAAACCTAAGCTTTTTTTTCCTAGCCACTCTCAAAAAATGGAAAGCCTCTGCTTTATGAGTCACCTAATTAATGACATTGAATTATCCAGTAAGTGGACTCTTCAGGTTAATTAAATATCTTCATTAACTTTTTCACTGCTTTTAAAAACAACATTTACACATTTATGCAAATAGGTTCATCATGTGTCCTTAATCAGTTATTTAGCTTTGGTGCAGAGTTAATAATTCCAGTATTTGTTCAAACTGAAGAAAATCCAGGACTCAAAAAAGAAAGGATATTTTTATTCAGGTTTTGAGAAAATCACAAGTAAAACCCCCAACTTATTTATCAATAATTGTATGTTACATACATTTCCATATTTACAATTTTGATAAAATAGTTATAATTAATATTTATCTTTAATAATTTAAATATTAATTAGTTATGTATTTATTGGCTCATATTATTTAAATTATATATATATTTATATAATTTGCAGTCTGACAATGCAATAGAAAAAAAAAAACAAAACATTTTCTGAAAAGAAATTCAAGACAGCTGCAGAAATGTGCATAAGTAACAAGAAGCCAAATCCTAATCATGAAGACAATGGGAAAAATGTCTCTAGGCCATGTCCTAGGTCTTCACAGCAGCCCCTCCCATCACAGGCCCAGAGGCCTAAGAGGAAAAAATGTTTTCTGGGGACAGGCCCAGGGCCCCTCTCTGTGTGCAGTCAGTCTAGGGACTTGGTGCCCTACATCCCAGCCACTCCAGCTGTGACTAAAAGGGACCAAGGTACAGCTTGGGCCATGGCGTCAGAGGTCGCAAGCCCCACGCCTTGGCAGCATCCATGTGGAGTTGAGCCTGCATGTGCACAGAAGTCAAGAAGCAAGGCTTGGGAGCCTCAGCCTAGATTTCAGAGGATGTATGGAAACACCTGGATGTACAGGAAGAAGTTTGCTGTGGGGGAGTGGTGGGGGTGATCATGGAGAGCCTCTGCTAGGGAAGTGCAGAAGGGAAATGTGGGGTTGGAGCCCCACACAGTCCCCACTGAGGCACTGCCTGTGTGAGAAGAGGACCACCATCTTCCAGACCCCAGAATGGTAAATCCACTTACAGCTTGCATATGCACCTAAAAAACCTCAGATGCTCAACACCAGCCTGTGAAAGCAGCTAGTTGGGAACTGTACCTTTCAAAGCCACAGGGGCAGAGCTGCACAAGACCATGGGAGCCCACCTCTTGCATAAGCATGACCTGGATGTTAGACATGGAGTCAAAGGAGATCATTTTGAAGCGTTAAGATTCAACTGCCTTGCTGGGGTTTGGACTTGCATGTGGCCTGTAACCCCTTTGTTTTGGCCAATTTGCCCTGTTTGGAATGGGTATAGTTACCCAATGCCTGTACCCCCATGGTATCAAGAAAGTAACTAACTTTCTTTTGATTTTACAGGCTCATAGGTGGAAGGGGCTTGTCTTGTCTCAGATGAGACTTTGGACTGTGGACTTCTGAGTTAATGCTGAAATGAGTTAAGACTTGAGGAACTGTTGGGAAGGTATGATTGGTTTTGAAATTCGAGGACACAACATTTAGAGGGGACACAGGCAAAATAATATGGTTTGGCTCTGTGTCCCCACCCAAATCTCATCTTGAATTGTAGCTCCCATAATTGCCATGTGTTGTGGAGGGACCCAGTGGGAGATAATTGAATCATGGAGGCAGTTTACCCTATACTGTCCTTGTGGTAGTGAATAAGTCTCACACGACCTGATGGTTTTATAAGGGGTTTCTGCTTTTGCTTGGTTCCCATTCTCTCTCTTGCCTGTTGCCATGTAAGACATGACTTTTGCCTTCCACCATGATTGTGAGGTCTCCCCAGTCATGTGGAACTGAGAGTTCATTAAACCTCTTTTTGCTTATAATTTACCCAATCTCAGGTATGTCTTTATCAGCAGTGTGAAAACAGACTAATACACTGTCTTTAACATTTTTTCTATTGCTTTGACCTTGGAGACTGATGATTATTTGTCTTCAAGATGATCTTTTTGTGGAGTATCTTACTGAAGTTCTCGGTATTTCTTGAATTTGAATGTTGACCTCTCTATCTATGTTAGGGAAGTTCTCATGGATGATATTTTGATCCATGAGATCAAAAATATCAAAAGTCAACTTTTGCTAAGTTGACTCCATTTTCTCTATCCTTTTTAGGTACACCAGTTGTAGATTCAGTCTCTACATAATCCCATATTTCTCAGAGGTTTTGTTCATTCTTTTTCATTCTTTTTTTCTATTCTTACCTGCCTGTCTTATTTCAGAAAGCCATTCTTTAAGCTCTTAGATTGTTTCCTCCACGTGGTCTATTCTGCTGTTAATATTTGTGATTGCATTGTGAAATTCTTGTAGTGTTTTTCAGCTCTATCAGGTTGGTTATGTTCTCTATACTGGCATTTTGTCTGCCAGGTCATGCAATGTTGTATTGTGATTTTTAGCTCTGTTGTATTGGCTTACAACATACTCCTATAGCTCAATGAATTTCATTACTGTTTATATTCTGAATGCTATTTCTGCCATTGCAGCCTCAGCCCTGTTCTGAACCCTGGCTGGAGAGGTGATGCAGTTATGTGGAAGTAGGAAGTTACTCTGGCTTTTTGAGTTTTCAGTATTCTTGCACTGATTCTTTCTCATCTTTGTGCACTTATCTAACTTCAGTCTTTGAGATTGCTTACCTTTGGACAGTATTTTGTTTTCTTTCATCCTATTTGATGATGTTGAAGATTTGTTTGTGTTATAAGGTAGATTCAGCTGACTGGCTTCATTTCTGGGAGATTTTATGGCACCAACACTCAGCTCCCAACTTCTGGACTGTGTGCTCTAACTCTGGGGGACTTGTATTAGGCCCTAGCTTTGTTCTCTTGTGTCGGGTCCATCCTGCAGACTCTGGCTGAGTGACAAATGAAAAAAGTATTCAGACACAGTTATTTTGCCTGAGAATGCAGCTAGGGGACTGCACTGCTTAGCATTGCCAATGAGAGTACAATCCCACTAAGCCAGAGACCTTTGTATTAATTTAGTACAGATTTAAAGACAAAGACCTGGAGCAAACATAATTTGTGGGAAATTAACATTGTTGACCCCTGAGTAGAGAGCAGTCCTGCACATGAATGATCAAAAGTTGGTTTCCTGAGACACAAGTAAACCAATTTATCTAGATATGTTTCTTTACATTCCCTTGTTATCTAACCTTTGCCCTTAAGAAAATTTAGCTGCCTTCAGCTAAATTCTTCTCCAAAGTTTTTGGCCTTCCAAGAAGGTTTGCATCTTTCCCTATAATTTTTCTTACATCTTCTCCCATCACCCTTGAGGCCGGAAATTAAAGAAAGAAAAGTAAAATTAAAAAGAGAAAGAAACAATCTTTCTGTATTAGGCTGACTCATCCCAAAGGCAGTAACAGGCAAAGCCCAGGCCCAGGCAAAGTCTCAACAGCATTATCTAAGAAGCCGGGGCTCAAAGAATGTGCTCTGGAGAGTCTCCCAGGGCTCCCTCAACATAGGGAGAAGAAAAACAAATTTTCCTTTCTCTTTTGATTCTGTTATTCATCTAAGCAGCACAGTGAAGAACATGAGACACCTGAGCAGGCCTGGATTGCAGTCCCCTAGATGCCATAGCAAAGGTTATGAGATAAGCCCATGTAAAGCACTGGAGCAAGCCTAGATAACAGCTATCTGGGCTGCATAGCAAGAGTCATATGTAAACCTGAGTTGTGAACTTGTCATAGTATGATTGACTGCCTTTGTTCTTCTTCTGTATCCTTGCTTTTGTGTCATTATACTTTCCACCATTGTAAGCTTGTTTCAAGTTAGACCACCCCCTTTTAGAAGTGTGTATAAAAGGCAAGTGCTGTCTTTGTTCAGGGTCCAGTCTTTGGATATTAATCTGCTGGTTCTGAGTCCACTCAATAAAAATCCTTCTGTTTCACCTACCAATCTCTCCAGTCTCCTGATTCCCACAACAACCTGATCGATCTCTTACACTGTGGCTCCTCGAGATTTGTAGTCCACTGTGCTGGGGATAGCAAACTGCGGTACCTGCAGCAAAGTACTAGTGGATATAGGGGTGTCTGCCTCTCTGCAGGTGTTCACCACAGTATTGGAGGCAAGGCAGCTGTTGGGGGAGCAAGGGCCTTCTGCTGGAGACAGCGTGCACTGCTGCACTGTAGGTGGTGATGGCTTGGGGTGGGGTGCTGGCCAGTGGAGGTCTTGGAGCCTTATCTGTGGTCTGCAAGCAGGAGCAATTGCTCAGGTTGTGGGGGGATCCCCTGCTCTGTGTGCAGCACAGCACAAGGGCAGGGCACTTGTAGATGGGGCTTGATGACTCTGTGCCCAACAAGGATCCATCTGCAGTGGTGGTTGGTGGGGCTTATGGGGGGCACACTGCATTCCCATGTGCTGTTGAAGCAAGTAAAGCCCACCCATGCAGATATATGGCAGCAAAGTGATGTGGGGAGTTGCAGTCTCATATCATTTTTAATAAATCTTCTGATATTGTCTCAAATCTTGGAAACCTGTGTCAGCTCAAAAAGACATCCTTGTATAAAACTGAAATGCTTCTACCTTTGAAATGTATATGTGATAGATTATTTATTCATAGTAGCTGAATTTAATGCAATTAATGTTTTAATGAATACAGGACATAATAATATGCTAAGAGTAGACTACTTAAATGTTTGTAATTTCAATAACTCAAATATATGCATGTCTATACATGAACTAAAACAGAATTTTGCCCAAATCACTCAAAAAATTAGTTAAATTAAATATGTTTTAAATATACTTAAATACTTTGTATATAATAGATTAAAAATGTAATTAAAATAATTTACATGTTTTATTTAGGTGTCCTCAACTTTAAAATATATATCTACATATAATTTACATTATATTACTGACCACATGGCTAAATATGATCGTTTGGCAGAAATCAATTCATATTAATTATGAAAGACCTACTTTTGGCAAAAATATTCCTCAAGTTTGATATCAATTCTGACGCTATTATTGACATTGATGTTAAATGTAAACCTCTGTTTTTGTCTAAAATTTGATGCTACAAAATATTTCTGTTGTCCATATTCTTCCAGGGAAAGAATATCTCATGAATTAGCATTTTTTTTTACTTATATATCACAATATCACATACTCAGAAAGCTGTTTTGATAAAATACAACTTTATCAGTCATTACCCAATACTGCAATTATATGTCACAAATGAATCTGTATAACCAAATGTAACATATGCAAATTTTTTTTGCTGATTATAATTATTAATGAATCAACCAAATGAGAAAAAAACTCTCAATTCGATATTAACTTAAACTTTCCAATTTACCAAAAGTGTTGGTAATATTTGTTTTAAATATTTAAACGTTTGAATCATATGTTAAATGAATAAATATTAATGGTATCTTTGACAAGTGGACACTTCAACGTTTTGGAGAGGTAAGCACATACATATTTTTTGTGTGTTCATTCACACATAAACAATCTGTGATTAACTTTGATCATACTCCTAAAAAGACTAGGATTTTTTTCTGTTTTGTTTATTTTTATATAAAATTTACATAAAATAGGGTGAACGAATTTAAGTAATATTTATAAGTTTTGACAAATGCATATACATATGTAATTAAAATATAGTAATGTTTACTATTATGTTGTAGTAACCATCATACCACAAAGTCCACTCATGTTCTTTCTCATTTAACTGCATCTCCATTCCCAAGGCAACAACTATTCTATTTACAATTGATTAGTTTTTGTCTTCCAGAAATTCATATGAATGGAACCATACAACATGTACTTTTGTGTACATATTAGTTAAAATAATGTTTTTGATATTCATAAATGCTGTTGCATATATAAATAGTTGGTCTCTTTCAATAGGTAGGTGGTATTTTCTTGTATGAATATACCAGATTTTTTTCTATTTGTTGTTGAACACATCAGCTTTATTATTTTGGGGTAATTAAAAGTTAATTCATTATTACAATTCTTATTCAAGTCTTTCTGTGGAGAAGAGTTTTTACTCCTTTTGAATAAGTGCCTAGGAGTGACTTGATTATAGGGAAGTTGGGTAGATGAATAATTAATTTTATAGAAAACAGCCAAATTGGTTTTCAAATAGTTGCAAATTTATTTAATTTAAATAGTCATTTTGTAAAAGTATTTTTAAACATTTTTCTTGGTAGGTTACATGTGACAGTACATGTATAGTAGTTGAATATCTGCTGACATCTTTATTTTTACAAAAATAAATTCTGCTTTCATTCAAGTGCACAAATATGACCCAATAAATTTTCCTAATGTCTCTTTCTAGTTAATACCTCTCACTAATGAAGCAATCACTTTTCTTATATCTGCACAGTAGTTGTATCTGTTTTTGGAATTAAAACTGTGCACTAATTTCTGCCTGGCATCTTTTGGTTCAACATGTGTTTGAGATTAATTGTGTCATTGTGCATATCAAAAGCTCATTAATTGTTAATTGGTGAAAGATAATCTCTCTTGTGTGATTATGTCACATAATGTTTATCCACTTTTCTTTGATAGACATTTAGAATTTTTCAAATTTTTGACTGTCTTAAAGTTTCCATATACATGCTTATACAACTTATGTTTTGGTTATGTTTTTTCTGATCGAGGGTTTGTAAACACCTTATAATGGAGTTCTTTGTCATAGTATAGGTGTATGCTTAACATTATGAGAAAATAAGACATTTCCAAAGAGTTTTCAGAAGTTTTTAAAACATTTTACATTTCTACCATCAAGGTATGAGAGTTCCAGTAGCTCTAAATCCTTACAAAACTTTGTGCTGCCAGTCTCTGTGAATCTGTTAAAGAAATTTTAACCTATCTACAGTTTAATATAATGGAAGTTTTTGTTAATGTTATCTTTGTGAGTGCTGGATATTTTGTATTTCTGTACAAAATATGAGCTTTTTCTCTAGGACACAGTTAATTTGTTCAAAACCGCTTGATCCTTTTAGATACTTCTTTTATGATTTTTTGATGGGTTCAACTCAGTACTCAGTTTAAATGTAATTAATTTCTACCCCTGAGGCAAGACCTTTTAAATTGCTTTACCAAATGCTCTGTGAATTGAGCTTTTTTTCTTTCATTTGGCTGGCAAATACAGGTATAATCCAGGTCATATGTGAATGTCAGGCACTGGTTTTTGTTGTCGTTATTGTTTGTTTGTTTTTAATCTTTGAAGATGCTTGTTTCCCTGGCAGTGAGCAGATTACTCACATGTATACACTAATCAGTATTCTGCTAAGCACTGAAAGGAGAACATCTTTAGATATCAGAGATTTCTCTCTTTGAATGTCTAGCTTCTCAGACCTAGAAACTCTAGTTACCTTAGTCTCCTGGAACTCTTGGCTTTGTACAATGCTAGGAGCCCACTTTCTCTGCCCCACTGCTGGAAACTCTAGCCACTAAATTAGGGCAGTAGCAGGGTTTAACTCCTTTGTTTTCTGTCTTCCGGGAATTACTTAATTCCCTCATATCCAGAGTCTTGTATTTCTGTGGGGGTGTCCCTGATTTTGTTTTTCAAGCAAGAAGATAAATCTAGTTTTCGGGTAGTCTTTCTTTAATAATTAGTGAGGGGTACTATTATACCTCATTACATATTTGTGTTTCTTCATTCAAAATATTTCTGTTCAGAGTAAATACTGACATCAGAAGCAAGATATTCTGAACTATTTTGGGGTATTTTGAATTCAGGAACATTTCAAAATGGAGCAGCAGGCATGTTGATGGTATTTAACAATGTCATGTCTCTTATTCTCTGAATACTGTTGAAGTGTGAAATTCTCTTAAGAGTCACTTGAGAGCATAACAAAGCTAAGAGGTGGGCAATAAATATTAAATGTTCAAACTTGCCCTCTTCACATATTTAAACATAGCCTTTCTTTTCAGCTACTTCTAATACTCTTTTTAGAGTAAGTCATTAACTAGGAGGAATAACATCTTTGAAAAAGTGGAACAGTGTAGGATAATGTTTCTCTTATGTTAAGTGTATCCGTTAGGTTTTCTGGTGTATTTTCAGTAGACTTCAACTAAAATATGTAAATAAAATGTTGTATAGTATCTTTCAAATATATAATTCTGTTTTAATAAACATGTTTATCCAAACATATCATGAAGTAATTACTATAATTAGGGCTGATATATCTTTGCTTTATTTAATAAAATGATTAATAACATTAACTTTCTGTTTTCAAAATTTAAAATATTATATGTTAGCAGAGAGAACAATTTATAGCGATATGTACATTTTTTTCCATTAAGTACACTGGTATACTTTAATAATAATGCCTAATAAGATCAATGGAATTATTTCTTGTTCATTTATATGTCATTTACCTAATTATTCTCAAACTCAGAATGCAAAGGGAAATCAATTATGTTACTATGCCTTTGTCATAACTATTGCCTCATAAATAGCATGCATTTAGCTACACACTTCATACTATTGCAATTCAAATATTGTGAAATACCAACTCAATTTACTGTTGTTTTGTAATTTTTTGGAAATGAAAAATTTCTTACCCACCTAAACGTAATCTTAACTAGAATGCTTTGGTAAACTTTCTTAACAAATTTTTCTTCATTATACTTACATGTATTTTGTGATATAATACAATGTACGTACAGTTTCAGTTATATCAGTTTTTAAGAAGATTTGTATTTTCCCCCCGATATAATGAAAATTGATTTGGCAGTGACTACTAGCATTACAAAGGTGGTTGGCATTTTAATAACTTGAATGAGAAAATCTGCAGCTCCATGTCTGTGTGTAGCAACACAAATACATTTTATCAAAAAAGAAAATAATTTGCCTGAACAGTTAACTGAAGTTAACATTATTTTTATTTTTAATCTTCAAGATTAAATCAGGATAAACAATACCACTATACTAAAAATATAATCAACATACTTGATAGTTTTATATGTTAGGTAATAGATTTTTGATGTGAATACCTAAAATGGAAAAAAGTGAGTATTTTTAATTCTTGGATTATAAAGCCTTTATAAGATAAATGATTTCAAATTACTTCCTTCAAATGTAGTGCAAATTTTGAACTTTATCAATTTATTTCCTTTATCTGCAGAGGTGATCAAACTCTTGATTTTTTGGTTTAATCTTTACTACAGGCTTATAGATTATATTATTTTTCTCAATTATTAAGTCTCCACCTGCATCAAAAAATGATGCATATCTACTTCTGTCAGGTAAAGGCAAATAATATTAATAGAGATATAAATATTTTATAAAATCTTCTTAAAGGAAGAAAATGGTAAGTATGTAAGGAATTACTTGATCAAAAATCACTTTGGGAGGCTGAGGTGGGTGGATCACGAGGTCAGAAGTTTGAGACCAGCCTGGTCAACATAGTGAAACCCCATGTCTACTAAAAATACAAAAATTTGCTGGGCATGGTGGTGCATGCCTATAGTCCCAGCTACTTGGGAGGCTGAGGCAGGAGAATAACTTCAACCCAGGAAGTAGAGGTTGTGGTGAGCCAAGATCACGCCAATGCACTCCAGCCTGGGCAACAGAGCAAGACTCTGTCTCAAAAAAAAAAAAAAAAAGTATGAGAATTAATTAGGGCTCAAGTATCTGGATATTTTTCAAGAAGGTTGTTTGATCCAGAAGAAACTCAATGGTGGATAAGTGAGAAGGCAGTAGTAGAAATGTCAGGCAAAAATGGGAAGTTTTCTTGGAAATCCACTTCCTAAAACCTGTGCTATTGTTTTAAAGGCCTGAAATATCAGAGTATGTTTAAAGCAAACAATTACTGACCCTTGTCCCTCCACTTCCGGGAAAATGTGTGGATTGCTTTCCTGAAAATGAATAAACCAGGTTAAATAGTAGAAATGGGAAAAGTTGTGATTTTGAAGGATAGTCCACAGTCTGGCTGTCACAGCAGGAAGCTACTAATTTAATTTATATTGTTCTTAAAGTAATCTACAGAGATACCTAGTAAAGATAAAGAAAATGATTCTATATAGGAAGTCATCATTCCAGGATTTGAGGAATCCTTCCAAGTAATTTTGGCAGAAGCAGTAAGCATCATACTTTCAAAGCTAATAAAGAATGCAAGGAAACAGGACACATTTTGCAATAAGTAGCAGGAAAAATAACAGAAAAAAGTCACAAAAATTGCAGATCCGGTATTATTACAGACACATTGAAAAACATGTATTTGTATTATGTTCTAAGAAGTAAATTTGAAAATATCTGCCAAATGAAAACAATACAATGTAATCTTTCAGTTTTAACATGAAACTAATAACAAATTTTAAAGATAAATGATATTATCACTAAAATTAAACATTAGGAGCATGAGTATGATAATATTTTGGACACAGCAAAAGAACTAGATCACTGGAAGCTAAATCAGAAAAGCAAATGAGCACAGTTCAATACAGTGAGATGAAAAAATGGAAATGTAGAAGAGTGGTTATCACAAATAATGAGTTGTGTGAGGTGATATATTTAAATAGAGAGCTAGAATAAAATAAATGGAGCAGATAAATATGTGAATACTTAATGGCTTAAACTTTCCAAAATGATGAAAGATACATGTGTCCATTCAAGAAACACAGTAAATTTCGAGGAAAAAATAACCACTGAATTAACACTTAACAATAAATCTGATGTGAGAGAAAGAGAGAAAACGAGAGCCAGAAAGACAGAGACAGACAGAGAAAAAGAAATCCTTAAAACAACCATAGGGAAAAAAAAAAGACACTTTAAAATGTGGCAGCCAGACTACTTATTAAGAGCAACATAGTAACCTAAATACGTTTTATAATTTACTTCCTTTCATCACACTAAAGGTATCTTGATTTACAATCTTGATTTTTAAACCCAACATATAAATCCTTAATTTATGAACACCTGATACTCACCAAGGAAACCCTAAAAGACAGAAGAGCCAAAATGGCCATCAAGACAGAGCCGGGAAGATCCTCCACTGAAAGAGCTGACTATCAAGAAAACCAGCACACTCTGAGCAGATCTTCAAAAGGAAAGCATTGAGAGTGGAAGGAGAGAGGATGGAGACACTGGGCTAAAGGATCAGAAAGCTGGGAACCCAGCATGGGGTTGTGGAGCACCAGGACTCATTCCTGGCCCTGAGAGGTGAGGGAAGGGGTGAGTTAAATATGATGGAGTGGCTTACTCTTTCCAAAGAGCTCCAGAATCCTAGCTTTAGGAGACTTCACAATCCCCATGGACATTCGAGCTAGCAAGGAGAGTTGCTTGGAGAAGTAGCAAAGACAGGATTCCAGTATGTGTAGAGCCCAGATAGTTTGACATAAGAATGGTTCCAGTGAAGCACAGCCAGGGACACCCATTTCCTAAGGCTTACCGCATGCCTCTGAGTGACTTTGGTCATTATTGATTGTCAGACCTGCACAGAGAAGGGCTGTCTTGCCCGTGGGACATGCCAGTGTGATTAGATGCTCTCCTGTTGACTGGCCTCTCCTGGGGTCCCCGCCAGTCCATACCCTGTTGGAGGGCAGCTTTGGATGCCCAACGAGGGTGCTTCTCAGTGGCCATCACCATAGCAGCAAACACTACTCTGCTCTCATTGCAGAGCTTCTGCAAATATACCTCCAATAGTGCACACCTACTTACAGTCCCCCCTCACTGCATTGCCGGCATGCACTGTGCACAGTCTTTACTCACTGTTTTGTCAGTGTGCACATATGCAGAGGCCTCACTGCAACTGCATGGGCCCCACTGGTGTGTGTGTGTAAACCCTGACAACCTGCCACTGCCAGGGTGAGTATGAGTATAACATGCCACACTGCACCCCTGCTGCAGCTGGTGCACATGTGCGTAAACATGGACCCCTCAGCAAATGCTCCAATTAAGCACTTTTGTTGGCATCCCCCATTGGACTATTGTTGCCAGTGGACTGAGAATGCTGTGGCCCTGTCAGTGCAGCAGGTACTTCATCTTGAGGGGGCATATAACAAAGCTGTGGGCCAGGTCCCAATCCCCCCAGTGTTAGAGCACACATCCCAGGAGAGCTGAGCTGAGCCTTGGCCACCTGAAATCATCCAGAAATGAAGCCAGTCAATTAAATGCAACTTATAGCATAGTAAACCCTCAACGGCATCAAAGTATACAAGTAAAAAGCCCCATCCAAACAAACAAACAAACAAACTTCAACGATTAAAGGAACATTAGCTCACAGAGATGAGAAAGAACCAGAACCAGCATAACTACACTGGCAATTCAATAACCCAGAGTGTCTTCTTAACTTTAGATGACCACAGTAACTCCCCAGCAACAGCTGTTAACCAGACTGAAAAGACTGAAATAATAGAGAATTCACAAGCTTGATGGCAATGAAAATTACTGAGATTCAGGAGACAGTTAAAAGCCCATCCAAAGAATCTAAGGAATCAATTAGAAAGAAACAAGAGCTAAGAGACAAAATAGTCATTTTTTTTTAAAAGACCCAAACTCTTGCCAGGCACAGTGGTTCACACCTGTAATCCCAGCAATTTGGGAGGCTGAGCAGCCAGGTTACCTGAGTTCAGGAGTTCGAGACCAGGCTGGCCAACATGGTGAAACCCCATCTCCACTAAAAATACAAAACTTAGCCAGGCATGGTGGCACACACCTGTAGTTCCAGCTACTCCGGTGACTGAGGAAGGAGACTGGCTTGAATTCAGAGGTTTCAGTGAGCCGAGATCACACCACTGCATTCCAGCCTTGGTGCCTTGTGACAGAGCAAGACTCCATCTCACACACACACACAAAAAAAAAAAAAGAAGGAAAGAAAGACAATGACCCAAACTCGTCTAAGAGCTGAGAAACTCACTATGAGCCTTTCATTGTTTAACTGGAAGTATTAACAGCAGAAGGGACTAAGCTGAGGAAAAAATCTTAGAGCTGGGAGATGGGTTCATTGAATCAACTCAGTTAGACAAATATAAAGGGGTGGGTCACTGTATTAGTCTGTTCTCATGCTGCTATAAAGAACTGACTGAGACTGGGTAATTTAGAATCAAAATAGTTTTAATTGACTCACAGTTCTGCATGGCTGGGGAGGCTCCAGGAAACATACACTTATGGTGGAAGGGGCAGCAAACATGTCCTTCTTGATATGGCTGCAGGAGAGAGAAGTGCAAAGCAAAGTGGGGGAAAGCCCCTATAAAACCTTCAGCTGTCATAAGAACTCACTCATTATCATGAGAACAGTATGATCCCCATGTCTAATCACCTCCCACGATGTCCTTCCCCCAGCATGTGGGGATTACAATTTGCATTACAATTCAAGATGAGATTTTGGGTAGGGACACAAAGCCAAACTATATTATTCTTCCCATGGCCCCTCGCAAATCTCACGTCCTCACATTTCAAAGCACAATTATGCCCTTCCAAGAATCCCCCACAGTCTTAACTCATTTCAGCATTAACCTGAAAGTTCAAGTTCAAAATCTCATCTGAGAAAAGGCAAGTCCCTTCCACCTATGAGCCTGTAATATCAAAAGCAAGTTAGTTATTTCCTAGATACAATGGGAGTGCAGGTACTGGGTAAATACACCCATTGGAGATGGGAGAAATTGACCAAAACAAAGGAGCTATAGGCCCCATGCATGTCTGAAATCCAATAGAGCAGTCATTAAACCTTAAAGTTTCAAAATGATGTCCTTTGACTCCATGTCTCACATCCAGGTCACACTGATGCAAGAGATGGGATACCATGGCTTTGGGAAGCTCCACTCCTATGGCTTGGCAGCGTACAGCCTCCCTTCTGGCTGCTTTCACAGGTTGGTGTTGAGTGCAGCTTTTCCAGGTGAGTGATGTGAGCTGTTGGTGGATCTATCATTCTGGGATCTGGAGAATGACGGCCCTCTCCTCACAGCTCCACTAGTCAGTGCCCCAGTGGAGACCCTGCATGGGTGCTCTGACCCCACATCTTCCTTCTGCACTGCCCTAGCAGAGGTCTCCATGAGGGCCCTTCCCCTGCAGCATACTTCTGCCTAGACATTCAGGTGTTTCCATACCTCCTTTGAAATTCAGGCTGAGGTTCCTAAAGCTCAACTCTTGTCTTCTGCACACCCACAGGCCCAATATCACATAGACTCTACCAAAGCTTGGGGTTTGCAGTACTATTAAAATGCTCATTCTGCCCAACCCAAGTTACAGATTCAATGCTATTCCTATCATACTACCAACAACGTTTTTCACTGAACTAGAAAAAAAATTCTAGAATTAATTTGGAACCAAAAAAGTGCCTGAATAGCCAAAGTAATTCTAAGCAAAAAGAACAAAGCTGGGGACATCACACTCCCTGGCTTCAAACCATACTACAAGGCTACAGTAACTGAAACAGACACATAGTGTAATGGAACAGTTTTGAGAGCACAGAAATAAAGCCATGCATGAACAATCATCTGATTTTTAACAAAGCTGACAAAGACAAACAATGGGGAAAGGACATCTTATTCAACAAATAGTGCCAGGATAACCTGCTGACCATACACAGAAGATTTAAACTGGACCCCTACCTTTCACCATACACAAAAATCAACCCAGGATGGGTTAAAGACATAAATGTAAAACCTCAAACTCTAAAATCTCTAGAAGAAAACCTTGGAAATACCATTCTGGAAATATTATGCAAGAAATAAAACCTACTTGATTGTGGTGGATTAGCTTTTTGATGTACCGCTAGATTTGGTTTGCTAGTATTTTGTTGAATATTTCTGTATCTATGTTCATTAGAAATATTGGTCTGAAGTTTTTTGTTTCATTGCATCTCTGCCAGGATTTGGTATCAGAATGATGTTGTCCTCATAGAATGAGTTAGGTATGAGTCCCTCCTCCTCAATTATTTTAGATAGTTTCAGTAGGTGTGGTATCAGCTCTTCTTTATACATCTGGTAGAATTTGGCAGTGAATCCTTTGGGGCCAACACTTTTTCTGATTGATAGGCATTGTATTGCCAATTCATTTTGGAACTTCCTATTAGTCTGTTCAAAGTTTCACTTTCTTCCTGGTTCAATCTTTGAAGATTGCTTCCAGGAATTTATGCAGCTTCTCTGGGTTTTTCAGTTTGTGTACATAGAGGTGTTCATAATCATCCCTGAGGATTGTTGTATTTCTGTGGGGTCAGTGGTAATGTCCCCTTTGTCTCTTTTGTGATTGTGTTTATTTGAATATTGTCTCTTTTTTTTCTTTATAAGTTTAGATAATGGCCTATCAACATTATTTTTTCTTTCAAATACCCAACATTCAGTTTTGTTGATTTTTTAACATTTTTTTCTCATCTCCATTTTGTTAATTTCAGTTATGATTGTGGCCATTTCTTTTCTTCTACTACCTTCGAGGTTGGTTCTTTTTTGTTTTTTAGGTTCCTCTATCTGTGATGTTAGGTTGCAAATTTGAGATCTTTCTAGCTGTTGACATAAGTGTTTAGCACAAGAAACTTTCCTTTTAACCATGCTTTAGCTGTGTTCTAGAGTTTCTGGTGTGTTGTATTTTTGTTTTCATCAGAGTCTAAGAATTTCTTGATTTCTGCCTTGATTTTATTGTTTACCCAAAAGTCATTCAGGTTCAGGTTGTTTAATTTTCACTTAATCCTACAGTTTTGGCGGATCTTCTTAGTATTGATTTGTATTTTTATTGTGCTGTAGTCTGATAGTGTGGCTGGTAAAATTTTTTTTTTATTTGTTGAGAATTGACTTATAGCTGAGCATGTGGTTGATTTTAGAATATGTGTCATGTGCAGATGATAAGAATATATATTCTGTTGTTGATGTGTGGAGTGTTCTGTAGATGTCTGTTAGGTGTATTTGGCCAAGTGTCAAGTTTAGGTCCCGAATATCTTTGTTAGTTTTCTGCCTCAGTGATCTGTCTTACACTGTCAGTGAGGTGTTGAGGTCTGCCACTGTCATCGTGTAGTTATGTAAGTTTCTTTGTATATCTCTAAGAGCTTGTTTTGTGAATCTGAGTGCTCCAGTGTTAGGTGCATATATATTTAGGATAGTTAAGTCTTCTTGTTTAATTGAATCCTTCATCATTATGTAATGTCCTTTATTGTCTGTTTTGATCATTGTTAGTTTAATGTCAGTTTTATCTAAAATAAGAACAGCAACACCTGTTCTTCTTTGTTTTTCATTTGTTTGGTACTTCTTTCTCCATCCCTTTACTTTGAACCTATGGGTGTTCTCACATGTGAGATGGGTCTCTTGAAGACAGCATACAGTTGGGTCTTGATTCTTTATCCACTTTGCCACTCCGTGCCTTTTAAGTGGGTGTTTAGCTTGTTTATCTTCAATACTGACATATGCACATTCGATTCTCCCAGCATGTTGTTAGCTGGTTGTTATGTAAACTTGATTGTGTAATTACTTTATAGTGTTGATGGTCTATATACTTGAGTGTGTTTTTCTGGTGCTAGGTAACAGTCCTTCATTTTCACGTTTAGCACTTTCTTAAGGATCTCTTGTGGTCTCTAAAGGCCTGGTGGTAATAAATTCCCCTAGCTTTTGCTTATCTGAAATGGATTTTATTTCTCCCTTGTTTATGAAGCTTAGTTTGGTGGGACATAAAATTCTTGGTACAAAATTTTATTTTTTCAAAAATGCTGAATATGGATTCTTAATGTCTTTTGACTGTGGGGTATTGCTGAGAGTTCCCCTGTGAGTTTGATGTAGTTTCCACTTTATGTGACCTGCCCCTTGTCGTTAACTGCCTTTAATATTTTTTTCTTTTGCATTCACCTTCAAGAATCTGATTACTTTGTGTCTCTGCAATGGTTGTCTTACATAGCATCTTACATGGGTTATCTGAATTTTCTAAATGTATATGTCAATCTCTCTAGTGAAATTGGGGAAATTTTTTATAGAATCCCTTATTTCTCCAAGGCTTTTTCTTTTCTTTCCTTTTTCTTTTTTTTTTTTTTTTTTTTTTTTTTTTTGAGATGGAGTCTTGCTCTGTAGCCCAAGCTGGAGTGCAGTGGCATGATCTCAGCTCAATGCAAGCTCCACCTCCCAGGTTCCTACCAATCTCCTGCCTCAGCTTCTGAGTAGCTGGGGCTACAGGCACCTGCCACCATGCCCAGTGATTTTTTTTTTTTTTTTTGGTATTTTTAGTAGAGACAGGGTTTCACCATGTTAGCCAGGATGGTCTCAATATCCTCCCAAAGTGCTGGGATTACAGGCGTGAGCCACTATGCCTGACCTTTCATTTTTTAAAATTCTTCTTTTCTTTATTTATTTTCTGGCTGTGTTAACTTAAATAATCAGTCTTCAGTCTCTGAGATTCTTTTCTTGGCTTAGTCCATTCTGCTGTGAATATTTCCAATCATTTTATGAAATTCTTGTACTGTGTTTTGTAACTCTATCTGCTAGGCTTGGTTTTTGTTTGTTTGTTTGTTTTGTTTTGTTTTTTCAAATGGCTAATTTTTTTCTCTTTAATCATTTTACTGGATTCCTCAGATTCTTGGAAATAGTGTTCAACTTTCTACTGAATTTCAATGATCTTCATTTCCTTCTACCTCTCAGTTCTATATCTGTCATTTCAGCCATTTCCTTCTATTTAACAACCATTGCTGTAGAACCAGTGCAGTCATTTGGAGGTAAAGTGACACTCTGACTTTTTGAGTTGCTAGAGTTCTTATGTTGGCTTTTTTCTAATCTGTGTGGGCTGGTGTTTCTTTAACTGTGGTATAATTTGAGCATAGTCAGTTGACTTTGTTTCTGGATGTTTTCAAAGCACCTTTTCGCATGATCTTTATTAGTAGCTGAATTATTGTCCTGGGTTTCACAGAGGCTTATATTAGCAAAGTAATTTTAGTGTTGAAGTTTCTGCTGCAATCTGGCTGATGACACTTAGGTATAATGGCTGATAGGTAGGCTCTTGTTCAGCCTACCTACCTATAATGGCTGATAGGTAGGCTCTTGTTCATACACAAATGTGTATTTTCTCACATTTGCAGTCACGCTCAATGTCAGTATTCTGTGTGTGTAGGCTTCCCTCCTACTGAAATGCTGGCTGCATAGCTTGGCTTGTCACTGCAGTGCTGCACATCACAGCCCTGGGTTGAGCTCAAGGTTTTTGTTTCCTCGTAAGCTTGGGGACAAAAGAGGTGAGGACCTTGACAGTGGTAATGGCTGGAGGTCTATCACTTGTCTTTTGCAGCTCCACTATACAGAATTGCAGAGATGCTGCCAAATGGAGTGGTCAACCTTTGATGGGGCCTGTGCATTTTGGAACCAAGCTGGGGGACACTACTGGTGATGAGCAGAGGGTGTCAGGGCTTGTGAGAAGACAGATTCACCTCTTCTCTGTAGGGTAGCTGCAGTGTGCTGGAGGTGTGAGTAAAGCACTTGGGGTCTTGTTCCCTCCCCAGCTGGAGGGCAGCCAGGGCAGTACTGCTGAATAGTGGTTGCAGAGAAACTTTCAGCTGCTTCTGGGATCTCCACCCCAGAGAAATGCAGAACCACTGCCACTGGGCATTTTCAGCCTGGAGTGGGGCTGCTGCACTATGAGCCTTTGCTGGGGCCCCTGCCTGGTGAAGAGCACGGGATCAAGTGCTCACAGAGAATAGAGATTGGGCTCCATGCCATATGGTGATCATATGGTAATCATAGTGTGCTGGAAGCATGAGTAAAGCATTCAGGCTCTTTTATTTCTTTCCCAGTCTAAGACAGCAAGGGCAGGTACCACTGCATGGGCAGTGGCAGTTGGCTGTCATTTGCCTCTGGGAGCTCCATCACAGGATAACACAGAGCCACTGGCAATAGAAATGTTCAGCTTGGGTGAGGTAGCTACTCTGCAGGCCCAAGCAAGGAGTTCTGCTTAGTGAAGGATAGGAGTTGGGAGCTCACAAGGAAGAGAGACTGGGTTCTATGCTATATGGCAGCTGTGTCATGATGAAGGTGCTAGTGAAGCAACCAGGATTTTGTTCTTTCCCCAGCCCAAGGGCAGTTTCTTAGTCCTTTTTTACACTGCTGACAAAGACATACCTGACACTGGACAATTTAAAAAAGAAAGAGGTTTAATCAATTTGTAGTTCTACATGGCTGGGGAGGCCTCAAACTCATGGCAGAAGTCAAGAAGAGGAGCAAGTCACATCTTACATGGATGACTGCAGCCAAAGAGAGACCTCGTTTGGGGAAACTCCCATTTTTAAAGCCATCGAATTTCATGAGACCCATTCACTATCATGAGAACAGCATGGGGAAGACTCACTCTCATGATTCAATCATTTCCCACTGGGTCCCTCCCACAACATGTAGAAATTATGGGAACTACAAGATGATACTTGGGTGGGGACACAGAGTCAAACCATATTATTATACCCCTGGCCCCTCCCAAATCTCATATCTTCACATTTCAAAACCAATCATGCCTTCCCAACAGTCCCACAAAGCCTTAACTAATTTCAGCATTAACTCAAAAGTCCACAGTCCAAAGTCTCATCTGAGACAAGTCAAGTCCCTTCCACTTATGAGCCTGTAAAATCAAAAGTAAGTTAGTTACTTCCTAGATACAATGGGGGTACAGGCATTGGGTAAATACAGCCATTCCAAATGGGAGAAATTGGCCAAACAACAGGGCTACACGCCCCATGCAAGTGTGAAATCCAGAGGGACAGTCAAATTTTAAAGATCCAAAATGATCTCCCAGTAACTCTATGTCTCACATCCAGGTCATGCTAATGCAAGAGGTGGGTTCCCAAGGTCTTGAGTAGCTCCCCACCCGTGGCTGTGTAGGGTACAGCCTCCCTCATGGCTACTTTCACAGGGTGACATTCAGTGTCTTAGTCTTCTCTAGGTGCACGGTGCAAGCTGTCAGTGGATTTACCATTCTGGGGTCTGGAGGACGGTGGCCCTCTTCTCACAGCCTCATTAGGCAGTGCCCCAGTAGGGACTCTGTGTGGGGACTCCAACCCCACATTTCCCTTCCACACTGCCCTAAACAGTGGTTCTTTATGAGGGCCTCACCCTTGCAGTGAACTTATTCCTGGACATCCAGGCATTTCCATACATCTGAAATCTAGGCAGAGATTCCCAAACCCCCATTTTTGACTTCTGTGCACTCACAGGCTCAACATCAAGTGGAAGCTGCCAAGGCTTGGGGCTTGTACCCTCTGAAGCCACAGCCTAAAGTCTACATTGGCCCCTTTCAGCCATGGCTGGAGCAGCTGGGACGCAGGGTGCCAAGTCCCTAGGCTGCTCACAGCATGATGACCTTGGGCCTGGCCCACAAAACCACTTTTTTTCTCCTAGGTCACCAGGCCTGTGATGGAAGGGGCTGCCATGAAGACCTCTGGCATGCCTTAGAGACATTTTCCCTATTGTCTTGGGGATTAACATTCATCTCCTCATTACTTATGCAAATTTCTGCAGCTGACTTAAATTTCTCCTCAGAAAATGGGATTTTCTTTTCTATCACATTTTCAAGCCGCAAACTTTTTGAACTTTTATGCTCTACTTCCTTTATAAAACTGAGTGACTTTAACAGCACCCACATCACATCTTGAATGCTTTGCTGCTTAGAAATTTCTTCCATGAGATACCCTATATCATCTTTCTCAAGTTCAAAGTCCCACAAATCTCTAGGCCTGGAGCAAAATGCCACCAGTCTCTTTGCTAAAACATAACAAAAGTCACCTTTGTTCTAGTCCCCAAGATCCTCATCTCCATTGGAGACCACCTCATCCTGGATTTCATTGTCTGTATCATTATCATCATTTTAGGCAAAGCCATTCAACAAGTCTCTAGGTGGTTCTAAACTTTGCCACATTTTCCTGTCTTCTTCTGAGTGCTCCAAGCTGTTTCAACCTCTGCCTGTTACCCAGTTCTAAAGTTGCTTCCACATTTTCAGGCACTTTTCAGTAGAGCCCACTCTACTCGTACCAATTTACTATATTATTCCATATTCATGCTGCTGATAAAGACAGACCTGAGACTGGGCAATTTACAAAAGAAGGAGGTTTAATCAACTTACAGTTCCACGTGGCTGGGGAGGCCTCAAAATCATGGTGAAAGGTAAGTAGGAGCAAGTCACATCTTACATGGATGGCAGCAGGCTAAGAGAGAGCTTGTGTCAGGAAACTCCTGTTTTTAAAATCATTAGATCTGGTGAGACCCATCCACTATTACGAGAACAGCATGGGAAATACCCATCCCCATTATTCAGTCATTTCCCACCAGGTACCTCCCACAAAACATGGGAATTGTGGGATCTACAGGATGAGATTTGAATGGGGACATAGAGCCAAACCATATCAGGCAGCAAGGGTGGTACCACTGTATGTAATGGCAGAGGGGCTGTGGGTTGTCGCTGGGAATTCTATCCCAGAGAAATGCACAGATGCCACTGTCTGAAATGTTCAAGTGGGAGCAGGGTAGCTGTGCTGGGGCCCAGGTCGGGAGACCCTGCCCAGTGAGAAGTAGCAGGAGCAAAGACAGGCATGGAAAAAAGTCTGACACCTCCATAAGGCAGCTGTGCTGAGCTGAAGACCTGCTATAATCCTTAAGCCTCTTTGCTCTCTCTTGATCTGAGGGCAGTATGGGCAGGGGTATAGCAGGCAAAAACGGCAGGCCTGTCTTATACCTATGAGAGCTCTGTCCCAGGGAAATGCAATGCTGCTTCTGGCCCAAGTTGTCAGGCTGAGGTAGGTGGCTGTGCTGGAGGCTCAGGCCAGGAGGCCCTGACCAGTGAGGAGTAGAAGGGGCCATGACCAACATTAAAAACTATATGACTGCTTTTCCAGAAGGCAGCTTGCCCTGTGCTGGAGGCCCACAATAGTCATAACGATCTTCACTCCCTCCTGACCCTGAAGGCAGTTGGGTAGTGGCTGGAGCTGCAATAGCAGCAAAAACAGCAGATATGTCTATTGCCTCTGGGAGCTTCATCCCAGAGAAATGCAGAGCTGCTGCCAGTCAAAGAGGTCAAGTGGGTGTTTCATGGCTGTTCTGGAGTTCCAGGTCAGTGTGCTTTGCCCAGAGAGGTTTACCAGAGGCAAGGCATGAGTCCCTCTGCTCCTCAGAACCATGAATGTAGCCACTAACCTTTGGCGTGCAGAGAACTTGGCCTTCCTTGTTGGTGAAGCTATGGCAACTAGCACTGGGGTGCTTAGGGGTCTAAGACCTCCGGGACTTCTCATGTGCCTGATCTGGAGCTCTGCCCAGATTCTATGCAGCTCTCCTTGTTAGTCTGAAGGCCCCAGGGGGAGGGACTCAGGGTGGATCACCTGTGCCTATGATTACAAAGGTCCATGACAGAAGTATGGGGCCATGGGGCTCTCTCTCAGTCACTATTTCTTTGTGGTAAGGATCCTCCCCTGACTCCACCCAATCCTGGGTGGGTGGCTGTTGTGTCTTGCTGTTTTTGTTCTCCATGGCTTCTGTTGCTTCCTTGCTGAATCCCAACATGTCCTCTTGGAAGATCCAGTTGAAGTGCTAGTGTTTACTGGCCAGTCTATTTCCTTTTCACGAGAGTGGAGCATACTAGCTGCTTCTAGTAAGTCATCTTGGCACTTGATCACAAAAGACATTTGTTTTTCACAGTTCTGCAGGCTGGCAAGTCCAAGTTAAAGGTGCCAGCAGATTCAATTCTTGGTAAGGGTTCTTCCTGGCTTGCAGACAGCTGCCTTCTCATTGTATTTTCACTAGGAAGAAAACAGAAGGTCTAGTGTCTCTTAATTGGATAAATTTTTAAAACCAAAATTATTGAAGGTGATTCTAATACACCTTTCTCAGTAACTGATATAAATATACTGGATGCATTATTAAGATTATTAGTGTATTTAAAAATATACAATTTCTGGCTGGGCACAGTGACTCATGCCTATAATCCTAGCACTTTGGGAGGCCAAGGCGGGCGGATCATGAGGTCAGGAGATCAAGACCATCCTGGCTAACACACTGAAATCCCGTCTCTACTAAAAATACAAAAAAAAAAAAAAAAATTAGCTGGGTGTGGTGGCGGGCGCCTATAGTCCCAGCAACTAGGGAGGCTGAGGCAGGAGAATGGTGTGAACCCAGGAGGTGGAGTTTGCAGTGAGCTGAAATCGTGCCACTGCACTCCAGCCTGGGCGACAGAGTGAGATTCTCTCTCAAAAAAAAAAAAAAAAAAAAAAAAAAAAAAAATATATATATATATATATATATACAATTTCTGCCCTTATTTATCTATATAATTTTGTATAATTATTTTATGATTGCTTATTATTCATTTTAGTAGCCACTTTAAGTGAAAATAAATAATGTTTGTATAAAAATAAACATTAATTTAATAAACTAACAGAATAGCATATAAATTTCCACTAACATCCTATCAAAATTTATATAATTATAGTATTTTATTAGTTATTTTAGTGCTATACAATCAAGTTAAGAAAAATGGCCAAAAGTCTAAAAAAATTTAAAAAAAATAAAATAGGAACAGAAAAAGGAAGAAAATTTATTTTTTAAGTTAAAAAATAGTTTTTTTAAATGTAGAAAAATACATGTTTTTTAGAGAAAACATACCTTTAATCACAAGAAAAAAGTGCCTTTAAAAATAAAAATATTATATAACATAATAATATAAAAGTTTCTTTTTGAATTTTGAAGTTGTTATAGTTTTAAAATTGTTATGTATTTGGCATTTCCTTTATTTTGCTTTATGTTAACATTCAAATTTCATCTTTGAATTTTAATTATCCTTAAAAATTTCTAGCTGCCTGTTAGTTGAATTCTAGACAAAATTTATCTTTACAACTTTTTTTTTATTATACTTTAAGTTCTAGGGCACATGTGCACAACGTGCAGGTTTGTTACATAGGTATACATGTGTCATGTTGGTTTGCTGCACCCATTAACTCGTCATTTACATTAGGTATTTCTTTTAATGCTATCCCTCCCCCATCTTTTTATCTGCTATACAAATATATTTTTATGCAATATCAGTGTCATTAATATAGTTAATGATATAGTTAACATAGTTAATTACAAAACATAGTAATTTTATTGTTAAATATTATAATTTTAAATTATTATTGATGGTTTTTACAATATGTATCATATTAGTAATACACCTTAACACACCAAAAGTATGTCAGCCCATAATGATGTTATTTTACTGGTTTATTTTAGTTTCATGTTTGAAATTTTTATATTCCACTAATAGAAAAAAAACAACAAGACAGAGAAATACAAATATAGCAAATATTGTCCAAGCAATAATCCCCGACTGAACAATGCCAAGATATACATTGTCTGATTTCTTCTTTCATTTAGATATTTGCATGAATTTTAAAGCTTTTGTATATTTTTTATTTTATTAAAAATAATTTTCTGTCCTGCTTAACATGTTACTTATTTAAAAACATAAAATATTTAATCTACTTCATATCATCCAAATATACGAATTAGCTCATTTTCTCTTCTCTATATATGATCTTGTGTCTTTATTCAGACAAAATAGTTCTGTCATTTAAATGCTTCCTTATCTTTAGCATAGTGTGATTTTTCTTTTTAAAATTATTATAGTTCAATAATATATCAAGCTAATGGGAGAAAAGCAAAGGTAAATTAAACTATGTTTCAGTAAAATGTAAAAAAAAAATCTGATTTTAAGTAATTACTAACTATGTACAGTCACGAACTCATGAACCAACAGTATAGAAGAAATAATTGGTGCGATTTGGGCAAACTAGAAAAAGCCAAGAAAAATGAAAAGATCTTTTTATATGATCATTCTTAATTAGAGCCACTGACAGTGAATGTAAAATGTTTAATGAATGTGATCTATAAAGCTTTGCTAGATTCTGACTGACTCAGAGGTTATATATTACTTCTCACACTTCTTTATTAAAATTATTTTGTTTTTAACTTAAGCATCATTTTTATAACTAAGGTGACAGTTATACATGAACAAGTATAATAGTTTGTCTAAAATATTTTGTACCAAAACAGGAAGACTGAAGTGTGAATAATCTCAGTAAAAAAGTATAAAATATAATTTAGACATGCAGTCATTCATTGAAATGTACACATGAAGTAAATCAAGTGACCTCATTATTGAATAAATTGATTGAATAAATTGACTGAGAAATATATGAGGTTGAATTAATTTCTTCTTCCACAGAATTTTTTTTATTTATTTCATTTTTGTTCAATGTTTCTTGATATAAAATAGATTATTTTCTATTATTTTCAGATGTCTCAGAAATCTTTCCAGTTCTTTCCTATGGTCTTCAATACGTTTTTAAAAATTAATGCAAAAATGTGGACCATTTAAAAACTAGATTTTCTCAAAGATTCAGTGTTGAAGGTAGTGTCCCTGGAGATTATTTGTTAAAGAATGTTTAAAACTAACTAGCACATGACTAGTCTTTGACATGATTTGTTTTGTAAGATCCTCGTCACCATGATATGTATTCAGGAAAAGGAGTATTCTCAGATTACAGATAAAGAAGCTAAGTCAGACATGTATTGAGTATGTAACTTGATGTGAACCATAAATAAAAATGTGCCAAATATATTAGTTAATTGTATAAATCTAAAGCATTCCATAATAGTATATTATCTCTGGCTGGTGAATCTAGCAAACACAACATATAGTTATCTCTCCATATAGGTGGGGATCAATTCCAGGGGCACCTTCATGTACCAAAATCCACATATACTCAAGTTTCCCAGTTGGCCCTGTGGAACCTGTTTATAGGAAAAGGCAACCCTACAGAAAACACCGCATTTCTTATTGAGTTTGGTTGAAAAAAAATATGCATATAAGTGGACCTGCGTAGTCCACACATGTGTTCAAGGGTCAACTGTAGCTGAAAGCAAACCACATTTAGTTCGTACATATATTTGAGAGAGAATATTTGTAAAGTGTTTTATTTTTTAAAAAAAGCTAACTAAAGAACTAAAAGAACCAAAAGCAAACCAAAATATAAAAAATAAACATTTTTCTAGCTCTGCAATGTAAGACATTTACTTTAAATTATTCAAATGTACCTAAATAGGAATCTAATTTAATTTCAAGTTTATGCTATTTTTGAAGTAAGAAACATGCTGTGTCAATTATGAAACTAGAAATATATGATTGAAAAAGAGTCTACATAGTGAGAGAACTTGACCATAATCTTTGAAAGTAAAATCAAACGAAAGCTATGTAAAAAGTGTGATCATTCGGCTTTAATTTTCAAAATATGATAACAATAAAATAAGAGATATTGAATGTTGCTAAAATTTTTAAATATGTTATGATAACAGCATACATGGAATATTATACATTTATTCAAATTATGTTTTAAAAATAATGACATAAACATACTTCTTATACATTATGATTGAAATGCTGAGGTTTTAATACATAATCAATAAAGCTAAGAAACCCTTAAAAATCAAGATGTACTCCTTAAATAAAATATTGAGTGAGTACTTATAAGGCAATAAGTTTTGTAAAATATGCTAAAAATTTTTAAAAATTCTTTACATATTCGAGACATACTTGAAGATACTGTGGGTTTTGTTCCAGACCATCACAATAAAGCAAAAATCACAATAAAACAAGTCAACAAAAATTTTTGGTTTCTCAATGCATATAAAGGTTACGTTTACATTGTACTGTAGTGTGTAATAGTATTATGTTTAAAAATATAATGTACTTACCTTAATTTTAAAAAGCTTTATTACTAAGTAATGTTAATCATCTGAGCCTTCAGTGAGTCATAATGTTTTGGTTGCTGGAGGGTCTTGCCTCAGTACTGGTGGTTGCTGAGTGATCAGGATTGTGATTGCTAAAGGTTGGGGTGGCTGTGGGAATTTCTTTTTCTTTCTTTTTTTTTTTTTTTTTTTTGAGTCAGAGTCTCACTCCGTCGCCCAGTCTGGAGTGCAATGGCGCCATCTCGGCTCACTGTAACCTCCACCCCCCAGGTTCAAGCAATTCCCCTCCCTCAGCCTACCAAGTAGGCAGGATTGCAGGTTCCTGCCACCACACCCAGCTAATTTTTGCATTTTTAGTAGATATGGGGTTTCATTTTGGCCAGGCTGGTCTCCAACTCCTGACCTCAGGTGATCTGCTCTCCTTGGCCTCCCAAAGTGCTGGGATTACAGGTGTCAGCCGCCGTGCGCAGTTTCATAAGACAACAATGAAGTATGCTGCACTGAATGACTCTTTCATGAAAGACTTCTCTGTAGCATAGGATATCATTTGATAGTACTTATCCACAGTAGAACTTCATTCAAAATTAGAGGCAATCCTTTCAAACCCTGCCATTGCTCTATCAATTACATTTAGGGACTATTCTAAATCCTCATTGTTATTTCAATAATGTTCACAGTATCTTCACCAGGAGTAGATTCCATCTCAAGAAACCACTTTCTTTGTTCATCTATAAGAAGCAGTTCCTCATCTGTTAGTTATATTACAAGATTGCAGCAATTCAGTGACAACTTTAGGCTCCACTTTTAATCCTAGTTCTCTTGCTGTTTCCACTACATTTGCAATTACTTTCTCCTCTGAAGTCTTGAACCCCTCAAAGTCATCCATGAGGGTTGGAAGCAACTTGTTCTAAACTCCTACTAATGTTGATACTTTGGCCTTCTTCCATGAATCACAAATGTTCCTAATAGTGTCTAGAATGGTGGATCCTTTCCAGAAGATTTTTCAGATCCATCAGAGGAATCACTATCTATGACAGCTACAACCTTACAAAATGTATATATTAAGTTATAAGACCTGAAAGTCAAAATTGCTTCTTGATCCATGAGCTACAGAATTGGTGTTGTGTTAGGTTGCATGAAACAACATTAATGTCCTTGTATATGTTCATCAGAGCTCTTGGGTGACCAGGTACATGGTCCACAAGCAGTAATATTTGAAAGAGAATCTTATATTTGGATTAGTATGTCTCAACAGTGGGCTTAAAGTATTCAGTAAACCATGCTATAAACAGGTGTTCTGTCATAAAGGCTTTGTTGCTTCATTTATAGAGACAAGCAGAGTAGATTTGGCATAATTCTTATTAGCCTTAGGATTTTCAAATGGTAAATAAGCATTGGCTTCAACTGAAAGTCAGTAGCTGCACTAACCCCTAACAAGAGTGTCAGTCTGTCATTTGAAGCTTTGAAGCCAGGTGTTGACTTCTCCCCTCTAGCTATGAAAGGCTTAGATGAAATCTTCTTTCAATATAAAACTGTTCTGTCTACATTGAAAATCTGTTGTTTAGGGTAGTCACATTCATCAATTATTTCAGCTAAATTTTCTGAATAATTTGCTGAAGCTTTTTCATCAGCAGTTACTTTTTCACTTTCCACTTTTATGTTGTTAAGACGGCTCCTTTCCTTCCACCTTAAGAACCAACCTTTGTCAGCTTCCAACTTTTCTTCTGCAGTTTTCTCTTACCTCTCTCAGCCTTCATAGAATTGAAGAGCATTAGAGCTTTGGTCTAGATTACGTTTTGGCTGAAGATAATGTTGTGGCTGATTTGACTTTCTGGCAAAACCACTAAAACGTTCCAAGTCTCAGCAATAAGGCTGTTTCTCTTTCTTACTGTTCCTGTGTTCACTGGAGTAGCAGTTTTGATTTCCTTCAAGAATTTTTTCTTTGCATTCACAACTTGGCTAACTGTTAAAAACAAGAGTTCTAGCTTTAGGTCTAAGTTGGCTTTTGACATGTTTTCCTTGCTAGGCTTAAGTATTTCCAGCTTTTGATTTAAAGTAACACACGTGAAACTCTTTCTTACACTTGAACACTTAGAGCCCATTATAAGGTTATTAACTGGCCTAGTTTCACTATTGTTCTGTCTCACAAGTTGGAGTCACTAAGAGAGGGAGAGAGACAGGGAAGTTCTGTTCAGTGGAGTAGTCAGAAGACACACAATATGTATTGATTAAGTTGCTATCTCTTAAAGGTATGGTTTGTGGTTTCTCCCCATATTACAGTAGCAACATCAAAGATCACTGAATACAGATCACCATAACAGATATAATAATAGTGAAAAAGCTTGCAATATTGTGAGAATCACCAAAATGTGACATGGAGACATGGAGTGAGCACATGCTGTAAACAAAGTGGCTCTAGTAGACTTCCTCAGTGCAGGCTTGCCACAAACCTTCAATTTGTGAAAAAGGCAGTATGTGAAGTGCAATATAGCAAAGGTATATGTAAGGTACACCAGTACATCACCATGATAGACCCAAACTTTATACCAGGCACTACTGAAAGAGTAAAATTAGCACAACAGTTAGCATAGACAACATGACAACTTTTGTATGGCCATAGTATAGTTTCAAATATTGTTCACATTCTCTGCAACAAAAGAAGTTAAGATACATTACAGAAAGGAGAATATGAAAGCAGTATTAGTAAAAGGGAATATCCCAACAATAGGAAAGCACCCCATTTGGATATTTATAAAAATTCTAAAAATTATTTTGTGAAAATGTGAAATCCATATTTTAAAGGTCTTCAAAACAGAGAAAAATAGACTAAAATTTTATTAATTAAAGTAAATGTTAACTCCAATAAATGAGGAGAATTAGAATGCATTAAGGTGTTTTAAAATTATAAAACTTACTAAAGTAATTTGGAAAAAAATGTGTATTGATAATACTCATTTAAGAAAACATGGTCATGATTTAGTCAAATCTCATCTTTTGTCCCTTGTTTTTGTTTTCAAAAGTTGTAATAATAATTGACATTTACTCAATATTTTCATATATTGAGTAAAACCATATACCATATAAAAACCTGGTACAGTTTTACAAGCTTTACAGTTGTTATTTGAATTATGAATCACAGCAAGGGTATAATAAAACAAAAATTGCATCCTTTATATAAGTAGAGAAATTAAGCTTAAAATAAATAACAAGTGAGAGGCCATGGTGCCAACCTAGTTTGTCATTTTTCTTTTGAAAATCCTAAGTTATTTGTTGTCAAAATTATCAATATTTTATATTTTGTTGCTCTTGCAAATAAAGCGTTTCTAATTAAAGATCTTAGGGCTTCACATATCCTTCAGATAGCTGGTAAAATGCTGCTTTTTGCTGGAAGCCTTCTCTGCCCTCTGTATATAACAGCAACCTCTCTTCTCGTTTCTTGTCATCTCCAGTACACCTTCTAGCTGCTTTTCTAATTTTATTTTTCCCAAGCACAACTTAGCACTTTACTGGAAGTCATCTGTTTTCTGCTTCACAAAGCAAGGACTTGTCTCAGTTGTGCCCAGCTCTAGCCTCAGGGCCTAGAAAAGTACTCAGCGTGTAATGTGCACCAAATACATGTATATTGGATTAATATTTAAATGCGTATATACTTAGCTCTGAATAAATAGCATCAATATTTGTCTTTTAAATGTTAAAAATATAAAGTGTATAGCCTTCAAAAGTACACTGTACATAAACAATTTGAAGGTGATGAAGAGGACCCTGAAACAGGAATGGATTCCTAATTCCTAGCAGGGATTTAATGGCCATCTCGGAGCAGCCAGATGTTATAAGATAAGGATATAAGATCTGAAAGGCATGGCAGGTAGAAATAGGGCTAACATATATTTTACTTAAAATTTTTGAATTGGCTATATTGAAAAAAGGTTAACACGTGTTACCACAGCAAACACTCTAAAAACTCTCTACTAAGAATTTTGGCTTAGACCAAGGCCAACATTGCTCTGGACATAAAATGGCCTTCTATACATGATGATGATCTTTTCAAAACTAAGTAAGTTAAGTACATTATTTAAAAGATTTTAGTCCTGTTTTACCTGTTATTTCACTACTAAAGGATTTTTCTACTCTGAGTTCACTTTATCATTCTTTTTTCAGAATTTTATCTGTGCTTATTTTAAATAAACATGAAAATCACTACCATTTAAGATAAACGTCCTTTTATCTTTCAATTATTTTTCCAGAGCAGTGCTTTAAGTATTCATATAATTATGAGAGTTTCTAAAATTTTACATATTTTATAACAGTTCATTCTGTGTGAGTTTTCTTTTAATTTTTATAAGAAATATCTTGAGAGCAGTGATACATAATATATTATGCAAAACCTGAAAAAAATAGTGATTTCCAGCATCAAATGTCATTTATTCTTCTGAGAGCCTAGTGGCCTTTAAGTTAATTTCCTATTTTATGGATTTTTATAAATTACTTAGTATGTGGGTTATGTGTACAGAAAACACACCACGTAACTTTAAATTGTTCTCAAATCATTTTGTAAGTCATCAGATAAGTATCTACTTAAGTAATCTATATATTTGTAATAAATATTTGTGTAGAAATAATAGAATGAGCAAGTCCTTTTTCATAACTTTGAATAAAACACTATTTCTCCAGTTAACCTGGAGGGCAAATAAACCTTTTAAAAATATAACAGAAAAGTTCAATAAGAACACAAAGTGTGTATTAAGTAAATGTTACAAAGGATAAATGGAAGTGAAGTACCTGGATTATCCTTACTGAGAATTCAACACCTATAAGTGAATTATAAGTGCAATCACAACTATCACAAACTTTGCTCGATCTCATTTTGGAATTGTAACAGCCTCAAGGGCATAATAACTTTCAAAAGACAGTCACTGAGTGCCAACTATATGCCAGCCCATATGCTAGGTATGGACTACTATGTTTTTTTCTTACTAATTAGAATCACTTAACTGCTTGAAAATGTGCATTGGTGGTAAACCTATTATCAGCCCTTACTCTATCTTTAAAAATTTAAGTTAAATTTTTGATTTAATGTAGAGTCATTGTATACACACACACACACGCCACACACCAAAACATATAACTATTTTTCTTGAAATATCAAAATACCACAAAAGCATTATGATTTTGTTTTCCTAAAATGTTTTAGTGTAAATGACAGTTAGATCTGTAGTCTGATTGCCTTAAAAAGTTGCTTCATCTCTCTCAACTTGAATTATTATTATTATTATTTTTTTGAGATGGAGTCTCGCTCTGTAGCCCAGGCTGGAGTGCAGTGGCATGATCACGGCTCACTGCCAGCTCCACTTCCCAGGTTCACGCCATTCTCCTGCCTCAGCCTCCCGAGTAGCTGGGACTACAGGTGCCCACCACCACGCCCGGCTAATTTTTTGTATTTTTAGTAGAGACAGGGTTTCACCATGTTAGCCAGGATGGTCTCCATCTCCTGACCCTGTGATCTAACCCCCTCGGCCTCCCAAAGTGCTGGGATTACAGGTGTGAGCCCAAACCCTGAACTTGAATTTTTTAATCTGTAAAATGACATGATAATATTAATATGCTGATGAAAGTTGGTTTGCTCTCAGATCGATTTCCTCAGCAGTTTTATTTTTTCACTGTAACAGAAATCTGCATTTCTCATGCTTCCTTGTCATCTAGTCTTTGGGTAGATTCAGGCAAGGGAAGGCAAAAGCCAAAGATTGAAGGGCAGGAAAAGGCAAGGAGAAAGGCCACTTCTGTTTTTGTTTGTTTGTTTTCTCTGCTTCTAATGACACCTACATCAGAGATCATATTTCTCCCTGGTCCCATTTCTCACCAGCAGTATTTCTACTGTGAAATGGCTCATTACTGGATCTCTGGAACTTTAGTTTCTCCCATTGACCTTACTATCATGAGGAAAGGATTAGTTCTCTGCTAGTGCTAATACTTTCATCACTATTCCTTGCTTTGTTTCTTAGTTATTTTCACCCTGATGTTACCTGCTCCACATAATAAAATCAGATTGTTTGTTAAGTCCTAGACTAGTTTCTGCCTTGCTGGCTATATCCTCAATGAAGAGTAAATATTTACCTCATGGGAGAAATAGACCTAATGGATTTAGGAGTTTAGCAGTTTACAGGGCACAAATTAAATCTCAATAAATATTTACTCTGAGTAAAAAAGTACAAAATAGAAGTACAATTCTTTTTTATTGTCATTGATTTCAGAGCAAAATGAATCAACAGTTGACAAATTAAGGATTAACTTAGGCAAGATTATTCAACAAATATTTATTATTCATTTGCTCTATGCCAGAAATGTGTCTTCATGCCAGGTTAAGAAAAAGAGAAAACAGAAAAAAAAATAGCTGTCCCTGACTAAAAGAGCTTATGTTCTTTCTTTTTGGGCGAGAAAGGTAGTGAAAAATTAAAAAAAGAAACGCAGTATTAACATGCGGATAAGTTGTAGGGTGAAATTTGAATGCAGATCCAGAGTGACTTCTGCCTCTCAAAAGAATTCTGCTGAGATGTCCAGAAGTAAGTAGAGTAGCAAGCAAATATCTACAGCGCATGTCTCTTTTAAAGACAGAAAAACAAAGTGGTTTCTAAGGTGGGTGAATCTTGGCATTTCCAAGAAATATCAGGAGGCTCTTAAGGATAGAATGACCAAAACAATGAGGGCTGTGATAAAATAAATTGGGGGAGGTATGGAGAAGGATCCCATATTGTTGCTTTCACAAGCAATGACAAGGTTTTGGGTTTTACTTTGAGAAGGGGAACAATTAGAAAGCTATGAGCAAGACCGTGAAATTATTTGATTTATGTTTTATAATCATTCTGACTCCTGGCTGAAAAACAGCCTCTAGGAATGAAAGTAAGAGAAATAGGGTCATCATTTATTAAGCTATTCCAATGATCCAGTGCTTTGGCAGTTGCCTGGACATGGCTAGTAAGAGGTAAAAGTAATCTGATACATCTTAAAGGCAGGTGTTCATGGATTTGATACGGCAAATGAAAGAAAGAAGCCACTATGCGTTATACTCCTTGAGCCAAAATTGAGGTGTAAAATAAACATGCCCACATAAATGGTTGATTATGTTCTTAAATGAAGGAGAAAATAGTTGCAGTGATGTTAAGTCATCAACCATTTAAAATGTTGCTTTTGAAAGAGATGAATCAAGGAAGCGATGGACATGAATTTTCCTTACCTAAAAAGCTAGTGAAAATTAAGAGTGACATGAACAGGATTAAAACTTTATTTTATAGTGGTACTGAGATGAAACATCACACTATCCGACTTCATAGCTTAAAAATATAATCACCCCACCAACTTCTCACTCTTTTCAAGGATTTTGTGAGTAACCAGCTTTAATTTGGAAAACCTAGACTTCTACATACAGATTGTTATGTTTGTGAGTATGATTATTTCTATTATCATTTTGTTTTACATTGTGCTTTATCATTCAATAATTAATATCTACCATTTTCCATTAACTAATTTATTTTATGACCATTTATTATTATTATTACCCTATGGTAGTCAATAATTACTGATACATATTCCATTGTTTTTGGGGATTTGATATAGAATCAGAGAAGTTTGTTGCCAACTCCTTTTTAGTTGAATATATATTGTTTTTGTCTTATATTTAGTTTTTGTGAAACTTCAGATTTTCCATCTTGCCCCACTATTTATTGTTAAAAATCATATCCAAATAAGACAAGGTTTAGGAACACACACAGTTAATGAACACATGTTAAATTATAATAACACAGAATACATTTTTGAAAGTAAGTTTATTAAAATTAGCAATATATTTCTAGTTATATGCATAAGGATATACCAACATGGATTTTGCCTGCCCAATATTAATTTTCTCTTAATTTCTTACAGAACTTCAATTTGGTCATGAGTCTAATCCCCAAATTATGTTTGCTGTCATGTACTCATGACAGCTCTTTTTCTTGATTTTTCTAGCCTTTATCCATTTGGAAATGTGAACCACCTTTTATAGGTGAGATACAATACAGCTGAACACTTCTCTAAAGGTTTCTGTAAAAAAGCATAAATGTACAAGTCTATCATCCTGATTCTATTTAGTTTGCCTTGAATATGAATGTGTTAAATGAAGTAAGATCTCACATCTTGCAACATGAAGTGGCAGAAGGGTCAACATAGAACAAACGTCAGAAGAAATTAACCAATAGAAAATTCCTCATTTGCTAAATTTTGTTAAAAGAAAAAATAGATTTTAATATTAATCTGTTCTACACAGGCAAATGTTAACTGCAATGAAAATGTCTTTTAGATAATTCAGAACACTTTCCATCCTTGGTAAAAGTATTCGTTTTACTGACTCACTATTATATATTTTGTTAAGTCAGAAACTCATATTCAATCAAAGGAAATAAAAGTTCCCCCTAATTTCTAGGAATATAAAAAAATAGGTACACATAGCTTAGATAATATTTTCTATATTTGTTCAAGTAAATCAGTTTAGTAATTGTTTGACATACTTCCAATTGATGAGTCCAATTTTAGAAGGAATTTTAGTTGGAAATGTTATTCTCTTTATGAAGATGTAAATGGCTGTGTTTACTGGCCAATATTTACATACACATACAGTCAATGAATGTTAATTTGCACACAGTGGCATATATAATTCAAAGTTCATTTTATTAGTTAATTTAGATATGGTTCAATAAGAGTTTCAAACTGAGGGCATAGAGTCATATAACATTCTCTAGAAGAACAACTTCTCACAAAAACTAAAATAAATTGCTTTACCATGTTTGCCTTTGTATTTCACTTTTTCCATTCTGAAGAATGAGCATGGTAAAATTTACATATATCTAATGCATATAATGGGCAATGTATGAATTATTTTACAAATTACTCATAACCAGAAGAGTTCTGTTGGATTTTACCATATGGCCAGATTCATCTTGCCTTTCAAACTTATGTAAGTAATTTTTCCGAATCTCTTTTTTTCCCATAACATACATGCTGCTGAGTCCACTCCTCCAAACCAAGTAAAGACAGGAATGCTCATGGCCAAATCATAAGTATAGAAAGTGACTTTTGAACTGACGAAGACTTTCTTCTTGTCTACGCTTTAGTCAGGCTTCTAGGAGCACTCTTTCTGACTCTACTTTGTCCTTGGGCACTGTCTTTACACTGCCTAGTCCACTAGTCCAGCTGTTACAAGAATGCTGCTAAGTCAGTTTAGAGAGAATCTCCCACTCTTGATATCTGATCACTCTGGCTTGCCTTCAGCAAGAATCCTCTTAAGTTAGCTAACAAGAAATGCCCTACCCTTGATGTCTCCTCTTAGTAATTTGTATTCATCGACAACCCTTCACTTTGCTCATTAGCTACACTTCCCAGATATCTTTGCTGTGTTCAGAGTTGAACCTTATCTCTCTTCCCTGTTAGAATAATCTTGACTCCTATCATTTTAATCTTAAATAAAGTGATCCTTAGCCATTTTAACAAGTGTTGGAAATTTTTTTATTTAGCAGAACTAACAAATCGTTTGCAAACTATTGAAATAGAACTATTCTATTATGGCCTGCAGATATTTTTCTCAATTATAATTCACTTTCATATTGTAAAAGTATCTTTGCTTTGTGTATATCTTTTTCATATAAAAACTTTTAATTTGGCAGGGAACAGTGGCTCATGCCTGTAATCCCAGAACTTTGGGAGGCCCAGACGAGCGGATCACCTAGGTCAGGAGTTGAGGCCAGCCTGGTCAACATGGCAAAACCTCATCTCTACTAAAAGTACAAAAATTATCCGGGCGTGGTTGTGGGCACCTGTATTCTCAGGTACTTGGGAGACTGAGGCAGCAGAATCGCTTGAACCCAGGAAGCAGAGGTTGCAGTGAGCCGAGATCAGGCTGCTGCACTCTAGCCTGTGTGATAGAGTGAGTGAGACTGTGTCTCAAAAAACAAAAAACAAAACAAAAAAACTTTCAATTTATTTTCCAGAGGTCTATTTTTAATTTAGTAACAAGATTTTAAAAAATATATATAAAATTAAATAACAGTAGAAAGTTAGAACTAGGCCCTATAAAATATAAAATTGTCAAAATTGGTTAGCATGATTGTAGCTTCAAGGATCATATTGTTAATGTGACAACTTCTGAAACCAAACATCATCATGCTTGGCATCAAGAGCTAAAGTAGTCATGAGTTAATGGAGAAGAACAACTAAGGAATTGGCTGGTGAAGTAAAGTTTATGCTAAATTTAATTGAAATGAAATAACAAAGCAGTTTGAAACGAACATTCCATTGATTATTTTTAAAATTTTATTTATTAACAAAATAGCTTATACTAACTGCCCACTCTCTATCCCAATAGTCACAGCAATAACATATAGTTAACATTTGTAATTAAATATTTCATTTCATACAAATAGTATTTTAAAATTCAAGTGTTGATTTTTAAGCCTTTGAATGTTTGGCTGTTTAAAATTTAAGTGCATATAAAAAATTGTAGAAAAGGGTCATTATTAATAAAATATTCAAAATATGGTAAATTATGCATGATGATTTAATATATGCAAATTGACAAGTGATGTGAATAGTACATTTGAATAGAGAAAATATGTACATAAATGAATGGTATTTCAGAATCTAAGCAAATTGATGACTCCATTATGTACTTGTCCCCAATGTAAATGAAATATTAATTAGAAAACTTTTTTTTCACTAAAGGGCTGAACATAAAGTGTGATGGCAAATTGGTGTGTTCTTGTATTTCTTGTCTTTAAGAATTCTTTTCAATATATTTTCACTTAATGTTTTAGCAACACTTTTCATCATCCTTTTACACTTATAGCTGGACTATGCTTAGTGATAGAAAATAGTTATATAATGGGATTATACTTGGCCATATGAATTTGACGGTATGAGTTAATCTATGTTTCATCTTACTTGTGTCTACTTGTAAGTCATTGATGCTAATGTTATTAGTAATTTTTATTGGGTAGAAATATTTTCTATATGACATTTTTGAGAAAAAGAAGTCAATAAATCCCATTTGATATGCAACAGAAATAAAGATCTCTTATTTCAATTTTAAAATGCTTTATAACTTACATTGCTTTGTTTTATGCAGTATTTGTTTTGATCAGATGCAAAATGAGCCAGTAATGGCATCTAACCACAAGTTTGATATATTTTTTTAAAGAAAAATTTCCAAAATACTATAACTGAGCAATAGGCTAATACTTCATAAATTAAAATATTTAAATATTCAATCTTTCTGAGTGGATATTTGTTGCATATCTGATAACTTGGCCTAATTCTGTAATTGGGATGAGAACTACCCAATTTTATTGGTAACCTCTTTTCTGCTCTGCAACTTTGGAAATAATATGGAGGACTTCAAATTCATTTGAGACAAAAATATTAAAAATGTAACCCCTGATTAGGATTTCAGTTCCAAAGCTCTCCTTGGAGGGATATAGAGCTGGAGACAATCAATCACATTTATTTTTCATCTCCTTAATATTGATATATAAAAGTCAGGTTAAAATTAGTATCAAAATGGGAAGCCTGCATTGTAAACTGGCTGGAATAATACACTCTGCAATATGAAGGAAAAAGGAAAAATTTAGTTGATTCATTTACTTAACTATAATTTTTTAAAGAATTTTAAGTTTCTAATAAATTTAACTATAAATTTTTAATTTTCTATCTTTCATTTAGTACCATCTATATAAACTTTTCCAGGCTACTTCTCTGAATCACCTGGCAAAATCTTATAATTTACCACCTAACTGAATAAAACACACACACACAAAATAATCTATTTTTAATAATAAACATCATTTATAATTACGTTGTTGAGATTGAGAGTAATCATCAGGTGTGGAAAAACTGAGGAAATTTTAACAATTTAAAATGTAATAATCTTTTTTGTATTATGTGTGTTTTATACTCAGAAGTGCATATGTTTTATAAAATTATGTGAATTTATAAGTGTGGTCAATATTAATATTAAATTGTATCTTTTAATAGTATCTTCAATTGTCTTTTTTTTTGCTACTGGATTCCATTTAGAAAAAAAAATGTTCTATATAGCAGTGTTGCTTTATTTTTCTTTTCTTTTTGCTTTTCTTTCTTTTTTCTATTGATAAAGTATTTACTTGATCTTGGGGAAGAGGTATATAATCAAATGACCACATTTTTCTTTGTTACATATTATTCACAATTTATAATCAATCTTTCCAAATTGTAATCTGTCTGAAGCCCATTTGCTTTACTCAAATTATTTAGTGACTGTGAAAGTTTCAGAAACATATGAAAGTTACAAATTAGCTTTAAATGTGTCATGTTTAAAGCAGTTGTTTTAAAAGCTAAGTTATTATCCATTATTATGTAACTAGTATTCTAAATATCACATCTTTGCATGGTTTGACTTTTAAAGCATATGAAATGTTTTGGATCAGAGAAATCATTTGCTTCACATCCCTAAGAGACAGACACTATGGGTACTGAGTCATGCTAATAGTGGCAAAACCTGACAAACAATAAGCATCATTTTCAAATATTTTAAACATTTCACATAAAAATTTACTTTTAGCATACATTGCAGCCATCAAGGAAGCCTAAAGTAAGGAAAACCTCAGTGAAATATGATGAAGTTAATAAAAAGAAATAGCCATCATTTTATTTGTTTAAATTGCCATTACCTCTCATGTAATTATTTACAATATATAACATAGGATAATTAAGTCAAACTGTGTACCTACAGATATGGAAAGCCTTTTATTATAGGAAAAAGTAAAAAGTAAATTAACTGGTAAAGATGAGCTTTTCAATCTATAAGGCATAGACACTTCTCCTTAGTGGATTTGAAAAGGTTGTTATAAATCTGAAAATAAGATAGGTTTTCTACAATAAATGGTAAAAAACACTTTCACATCTTAACCTTATCATAGTATCACAATGCTGGAATGTTTTTACTAGGAAATAAGTAAGCTAATTCAATTATAAATTGCAGTAGAGGAAAAGATGAAGGTTAAAAAACACTATCTATTCAAATCCTTAGTCATGAGGTTGAATTCATTGAATCAGAGTGTGAATATATATCTATATTTGAGACAGAATGTGTATGTATGTGTGTGAGTGTGAGTGTGTGTGTGCAGTCATTAGATATTTGCCTCATGGACAGTGGAGGAAAACATTTGCTGAGCTGCTTTCCTACCTTAAAGATTTAGAACTGCACTGTTTTCAAGATATACTTTTTATATCTCAAATAATTTAATATATTATGTTTACTTGTTGATATAACAAGATATCTGAATACCCCATAATTGAAATTATACCTGGAAATAAATACTTGAAATACTTGCTTCAGTGACATTTGTGGAAGTATACATATTTAAGTTCAAATTATAGGTAGATTGAACAAAATGATATTGGATTCTTCACTGGCTGCATACTTCTGAAACTTGTAAATAATTTGAAATTAGTTTCCAAGAACAGAAAGACAAATATTAGATAGGAAATACCAAATTCTTAAGATTCATACATATAAAAGTGAAATAAAAATCAAACTTAATCTTATGAATTTTCAACTGTGGCTTAATTTTAGAACTTGTTATAAAAATAGAAACGCTATTTAATTATATTTATTAAAATCTAAAAATACGTGATTATAGCTAGGACATTGACAAGTGTAAGTATACATGAGTAAATATAACTGAGGATAGCAACACATGAAATATATCATAAAATTGAATTATTCTATAAATAGTATTGTCTGTATTACTTGGAACTTGATTCCACTTAGAATGTCCCTGCTTTTATTTATTTATTTATTTATTTATTTTTGTAAACAAAATGAGCAAGAGGTTATTACACTTCATTCACTGCAAAAAGGTAACACTACACCAAAGATAACTCACATACTTGCAGAAATATGGAAAGTATTTCTTTCTTTTTTTTTGTTAAGAAATAGGGTCTCACTATGTTGCCCAGGTTGTAGTGCAGTGACTATTCAAAGGACTCATCCCACTACTGATAAGCAGAGGAGTTTTTTTATGCTCAGTTTTTGAGTTGACCACTCCTTAGGCAACCTGGTAGTCCTCTGCTCCCTGGAAGCTAACATATTGATGCCAAACTTAGTGCAGACACTTCATCAGCATAGTGCATACAACCCAGAACTCCTGGGCTCAAGTGTTCCTCCTGCCTCAGCATCCTGAGTAGCTGGGACAACAGGTGTGTGTCACCTGGCTGAAAGGTATTTTTAAATACAAATGTTGTCCAGGAGTGACAGAAGCTGGAGAATTGGACTACTTGATGGAGGCTTTGTACAAGCTTTGAACAATAGTAACAACAAAATTGAAACACCAAAAATATTGTTTAATTAGCAGTTAACCACCAATAAAAGGAAACCAGCCATTTCGCACAGAGGATTTTGGTAATTGATTACATGATTCAAGGAAATAATATTATTAGGTGTGTATTAGTCCATTATTGCATTGCTATAAAGAAATACCTGAGATTGGGTAATTTATAAAGAAAAGAGGTTTAATTGACTCACAGTTCTGCATGCTGTACAGAAAGAATGTTGCATCTGCTGGGCATCTGGGGAGGCCTCATGAAATGTATAACCATGGTGGGAAAATGAAGAGGGAGCCGATGCTTCATATAGCTGGGAGCAAGAAGAAAAGTGAGAGGTGGGGAGGTGCTACACCATTTTAACAACCAGATTTCATAATAACTCACTCACTCACTATCATAAGAATAGCACCAAGGAAATGGTATTAAACCATTAAAGAGAAACCACTCCACAATCCAATAACCTCCCATCAGGCCCCACCTCCAACACTGGGGATTACAATTTGACATGAGATTTGGTTGGGGACATAGATCCAAACCATATTATTTTGCCCTAGTCCCTCCCAAATTTTATGTCTTTCTCAGTTTGCGAAATACAGTCATGCCTTCCCATCAGTCCCCCAAAGTCTTAACTCACTTCAGCATTAACTCAAACATCCAAAGTCTAAAGTCTTATCTGAGATCAGGCAAGCCCCTTCTGCCTAAGACCCTGTAAGATTTAAAAAAAAAAAAACAAAAACCTCCCAAGATATAATGTATAATGGGGGTACAGGGATTGGGTAAATACTCCCATTTCAAAAGGGAGAAATTGGCCAAAAGTAAGGGGCTACGGGCCCGATGCAAGTCTGAAAGCCAGTAGGGAAGTTATTAAGTCTTAAAGCTTAACAATCTCCTTTGACACCATCCAGGGCATACCACTGCAAGGGGCGAGCTCCCAAAGTCTTCTGCTGCTCCACTCCTGTGACTTTGCAGGGTTCAGCTCCTACAGCTGCTCTCAAGGGCTGGTGTTGAGTGCTTACACCATTTCCAGGCACACAGTACAAGTGCTGGTGGATCTACCATTCTGGGGTCTGGAAGATAGTGTCCCTCTTCTCATAGCTCCACTAGATAGTGGTCCAGTAGGGACACTGTGTGGTGGCTTCAATCCCACCTTTCCCCTCTTCAGTGCCCTCGTAGAGATTCTCCATCAGGGCTCTGACCCTGCAGCAGATTTCTGACTGTACATCTAGGTTTGTTCATACATTCTCTGAAATCTAGCCTCAACTCTTGTACTCTGGGCACCCTCAGGCTTAATGCCACATGGAAGCCATCAAGACTTATGGCTTGAACCCTCTGGAGCAGCAGCCTGAGCTGTACCTGGGCCACTTGGAGCCATGGCTAGAGCTGGAACAGATGAGATGCATATAGTAGTGTCTCAAGGCTGCACAGGGCAGTGGGGCCCTAGGCCTGGGCCACGAAACCATTCTTCCTTCGTTGTCCTCTGAGCCTGTGATGGGAGGAGCTTCCACAAAGGTCTCTGAAATGCCCTGGAAGGTATTCATCATTTTCCTGGCTATCAGCATTTGCCTTCCTTTTAGTTAACCAAGTTTCTGCAGCTTGCTTGAATTTCTCTCCTGAAAATGGACTTTTTGTTCTACCACATGGCCAGGCTGCAAATTTTTCAAGTTTCTACACTCTGCTTACCTTCTAAATATAAGTTTCAGTTTGAGGTCATTTCTTTGCTCACACACACCAAAATAGTTTGTTAGAAGTAGCGAGATTACTTCCTGAATGCTTTGCTGCTTAGAAATTTTTTCCACCAGATACCCACCAGAACTTGAGATACTCTCAAGCTCAAAATTCGACAGATCCCTAGGGCAGGTGCACAGTGCATCCAACCTTTTTGCTAATGCCTAACTAAAGTGACCTTTGCTCCAGTTCCCATTAAGTTCCTTATCTCCAACTGAGACCTCCTCAGCCTGGACTTCATTGTGTGTCTCTATCAGTAGCTTGGTCACAACAATGTAACAAGACTCTAGTAAGTTCAAAACGTGCCCTCATCTTCCTGTCTTCTTCTGATCTCTCCGAACCCTGCCAACCTCTCTCCACTATCCAGTTTCAAAGCCACTTTCACATTTTCCGGTATGTTTACAACAATATCATATTCCTCTACCAATTCTCGATATTAGTCCTTTCTTACATTGCTCTAAAGAAATAACTGAGACTGGGTAATTTACAAAGGAAAACAGTTTAATTGGCTCATGGATCTGCACGTTATACAGAAAGCATGATGCATCTGCTCGGCTTCTGTGTATGTCTTCTGTGTATTACCTACTGTATGTCTGTGCGCGTTATGGGTGTGTATGTGTGTGTGTATATGTGTATGTGTGTGTCTGTCTGTGTGCCTGCGCGAGTGCCTGTCTGTGTGACCACTTCTGACTCCCTCTTACGACTCTATTTATCTCTCTCTCCTTTCGCGCTCTTTCCATTGCCCGCTCTTTCTATCTCTGCCCATCAGTATGTGCCCATCTGTGTCTGTGCCTTGGGACACATGTGCCCTGTGCGCCGGAGGGTGGGTTTCTTGCAGGTCGGCCTTTCTTCTGGTCAGCCTCTCCCCGCGTCTCTGCCTGGGTCATGTGGCCGGTTGGCAGTCGGTTTCCCGGCGGTTCCGGTTTGGGGGTCTGTGAGGGCCTGGGCAATGCCGGCATCTGCTTCGGAGCCGCAGGGGTTTTCGTCCCCTCCCCATCCGGAGCAGCCTCTTTGCTAGGCTAGATCCAGACGACCGCTCCCCAAGCAAGGACAACGGCCTCCCAGGCGCTCATTGTCCACCCGCAGGAGGGTGCCCGCAGACCTTCAAGAAGATGGTTCTCACGCCTCTCGCCCTCTCCCTCATGGAGAAATGGAGCCACAGCTCGACGCAGGGACGGAGAAGGAAGCCGGCAAGGGGATGGGGCAAGCATCTCTGTCACTCAAAGGCTGGCCTTCCTGGCCGAGTCACCCGTCTGACACTCCTCCCCGGATGCCCGGGGTGGTGGCATGGCCCCGTATCCTGCCTGGGCTCTGGCCTCTGCTCTGTCCTCCCTCTTGCTGTGTCTGCCCCGTCTCTGAGAAGCCTGGCGGCTTCTTAGTCTGGCTCAACGTCTTCAACAAAGAAGACTTCGCAGTCCATCAGGGAGAAACCCCGTGGGCGTCCGTGTCATGATCGTTTCCCTCTCCACACCTCTTTCTGGATGATTGGGCAGGTGTGGTGAACCTGGAGCTCTGGGCTTCCATACCTGTGTGGGACAGGGAAGCTCTCTTGGTCTCCATGGCCCAAGTGATGGCTGCGCGCTCGGTCCAGGAAGAGGGGGAGGCAAGCCCACCGTTCCCCACATTGGCCTTCCAGGAAAGGCGGTGTTGCATCCCACCTGCACTTCCTGTCTGATCCTTGAGGGCCAACCGGTCCCTCCGCTCCTGGGGAAAGCGCCTTCTGGCACTGAATCTTTTGGCTGCCACGGATGTCAGGGAGCCAACGGGACTGGGTTTTGGCTGGGTGCAGCGGAGGTTGCGTCAGGGGTACCTAAGCGGTAGCGGCGTGGGGGTGGGGTGTACTTGGTCCAAAGCTCTGGGCTCCTCTGGCGGGCCTCCCTGAATGTGGCCTGGACTCGCGCACAGGCCCTGTCTCGCAGGTTTGCAGGTGCGCTTGGCTTTTCCTCCGCTTTGTGGGGCAGGTCTCCAGTGGCCCCCGGGCGCACGCCTGGACATCACTGTCCGTCTCGTCGTCGCCCCCTACGGCCTCAAAGACACACGCTCACTGCATGTGCTCTTGGGGGACGTCAGTGCCACGTTTGGTCACACGGGCTCCAGCTCGGACTCGCCTCTGTCTGCCTTTGCAGGTGTCGCCGGAAGCTGCGTCGGGATGCCGGAGCCCCCGGGCGTCGGAGATGAAGGCAGGCCCCTGCTCCACCCAGGAAGGAGGGAGGCAGTGGACTCATGGGTCAGTGCCGTTGCAGACGACAGCACGCCTTGCGGCCTTGGGGATCTTTCCGTGCCCCGGCGAGACCCTTTCCGCCTCACTGCATTGTAACCCCATTCCCGATCAGCGGGTGGGAGCCATCATCGAATCCCAAGAGGCGTCCGCGCAGCCAAGCCAGCACCCCGAAGGTCCTCCTTCACCGGGAACAGAAGCAGGAGACCGATCAAGGAGGTCCTGACGACAGGACCCCTATGGGTCCGACCCTGGGTCTCCCGCAGGCCCCTCTGGTAGTCCTCTTCCCACCCGCCGCCTCGGGCTGCGCCGCAGCCGCCGCCGCCGCAACCTCCAGGACCGCCGCCCCAGTCCCCGCAGCCGCCGCGTCTCCGCCATTTTTTAAAGGGTCCGCAGCCTGACTCTGCTGAGTAAGGAGGGGTGGGGCGGGTGAGTCGGCCTCGCCAGTGCGCATGCGCGAGGCCCCAGCCGCCGCTTTGGTCACAGTGACCGCCACCGTTGCCGGGGGATGGGTCCCTGAGACTTGGCGAAGTAGGAGCCCTGTGTGATTGTGCGTCAGAGTCGGGGCTGACACCAGTCCTGGCCAGGGCACTTACCAGGACGGTCTCCGGAGGCCGGGATTCGCGGAGGGTCCACCAGCAGTAAGAAACGCCAGGAGGAAGAAACCTCAGACAGATCGCCGGGGACGCAGCGCGGGATCCCAGCCTCAGGCGTGCACGGACGGTGTGCGGGTGAGTCTCCCCAAAAGTGGCGCCCTTGTGATGTGGAGGACAGGTCTGCCAGGGTGTCCGTGGGCTGCTGTCTCACCGGTGGCCTCTTAGTCGCGGAGAGCAGAACCCGGCAGCTTCAGGGGCAGCCTGGGGGTGGGTGTTACCTGCTGTATGTCTGTGTGCGTCTTGGTTGTGTGTGTGTGTGTGTGTGTGTGTGTGTGTGTGTGTGTGTGTTTGTGTCTGTGTGCGTGCGTGTGCGCGTCTGTGTGCCCACTTCTGTCTATCTCTTACGTCTCTCTCTCTCTCTCCCCCCTCTCGCTCTTTCCGTCGCCCTCTCTTTCTATCTCTGTCTGTCTGTGTGTGCGTGTGCCTTGGGACACATGTGCCCCGTGCGCCGGAGGGTGGGTTTCTTGAAGGTCGGTCTTTCTTCTGGTCAGCCTCTCCCCGCGTCTCTGCCTCGGTCGTGTGGCCGGTTAGCAGTCGGTTTCCCGGCGGTTCCGGTTTGGGGGTCTGTGAGGGCCTGGGCAACGCCGGCATCTGCTTCGGAACCTCAGGGGTTTTCGTCCACTCCCCATCCGGAGCAGCCTCTTTGCTAGGCTAGATCCAGACGACCGCTCCCCAAGCAAGGACAACGGCCTCCCAGGCGCTCATTGTCCACCCGCAGGAGGGTGCCCGCAGACATTCAAGAAGATGGTTCTCACGCCTCTCGCCCTCTCCCTCATGGAGAAATGGAGCCACAGCTCGACGCAGGGACGGAGAAGGAAGCCGGCAAGGGGATGGGGCAAGCATCTCTGTCACTCAAAGGCTGGCCTTCCTGGCCGAGTCACCCGTCTGACACTCCTCCCCGGATGCCCGTGGTGGTGGCATGGCCCCGTATCCTGCCTGGGCTCTGGCCTCTGCTCTGTCCTCCCTCTTGCTGTGTCTGCCCCGTCTCTGAGAAGCCTGGCGGCTTCTTAGTCTGGCTCAACGTCTTCAACAAAGAAGACTTCGCAGTCCATCAGGGAGAAACCCCGTGGGCGTCCGTGTCATGATCGTTTCCCTCTCCACACCTCTTTCTGGATGATTGGGCAGGTGTGGTGATCCTGGAGCTCTGGGCTTCCATACCTGTGTGGGACAGGGAAGCTCTCTTGGTCTCCATGGCCCAAGTGATGGCTGCGCGCTCGGTCCAGGAAGAGGGGGAGGCAAGCCCACCGTTCCCCACATTGGCCTTCCAGGAAAGGCGGTGTTGCATCCCACCTGCACTTCCTGTCTGATCCTTGAGGGCCAACCGGTTCCTCCGCTCCTGGGGAAAGCGCCTTCTGGCACTGAATGTTTTGGCTGCCACGGATGTCAGGGAGCCAACGGGACTGGGTTTTGGCTGGGTGCAGGGGAGGTTGCGTCACGGGTACCTAAGCGGTAGCGGTGTGGAGGTGAGGTGTACTTGGTCCAAAGCTCTGGGCTCCTCTGGCGGGCCTCCCTGAATGTGGCCTGGACTCGCGCACTGGCCCTGTCTCGCAGGTTTGCAGGTGCGCTTGGCTTTTCCTCCGCTTTGTGGGGCAGGTCTCCAGTGGCCCCCGGGCGCACGCCTGGACATCACTGTCCGTCTCGTCGTCGCCCCCTACGGCCTCAAAGACACACGCTCACTGCATGTGCTCTTGGGGGACGTCAGTGCCACGTTTGGTCACACGGGCTCCAGCTCGGACTCGCCTCTGTCTGCCTTTGCAGGTGTCGCCGGAAGCTGCGTCGGGATGCCGGAGCCCCCGGGCCTTGGAGATGAAGGCAGGCCCCTGCTCCACCCAGGAAGGAGGGAGGCAGTGGGCTCATGGGTCAGTGCCGTTGCAGACGACAGCACGCCTTGCGGCCTTGCGGATCTTTCCGTGCCCCGGCGAGACCCTTTCCGCCTCACTGCATTGTAACCCCATTCCCGATCAGCAGGTGGGAGCCATCATCGGATCCCAAGAGGAGTCCGCGCAGCCCAGCCAGCACCCCGAAGGTCCTCCTTCACCGGGAACAGAAGCAGGAGACCGATCAAGGAGGTCCTGACGACAGGACTCCTATGGGTCCGACCCTGGGTCTCCCGCAGGCCCCTCTGGTAGTCCTCTTCCCACCCGCCGCCTCGGGCTGCGCCGCAGCCGCCACCGCCGCAACCTCCAGCACCGCCGCCCCAGTCCCCGCAGCCGCCGCGTCGCCGCCATTTTTTAAAGGGTCCGCAGCCTGATGCTGCCGAGTAAGGGGGGGTGGGGCGGCTGAGTCGGCCTCGCCAGTGCGCATGCGCGAGGCCCGAGTCGCCGCTTGGATCACAGTGACCGCCACCGTTGCCCGGGGATGGGTCCCTGAGACTTTGCGAAGTAGGAGCCCTGTGTGATCGTGCGTCAGAGTCGGGGCTGAGACCAGTCCTGGCCAGGGCAGTTACCAGGACGGTCTCCGGAGGCCGGGATTCGCGGAGGGTCCACCAGCAGGAAGAAACGCCAGAAGGAAGAAACCTCAGACAGATCGCCGGGGAGGCAGCGCGGGATCCCAGCCTCAGGCGTGCGCGGACGGTGTGCGGGTGAGTCTCCCCAAAAGTGGCGCCCTTGTGATGTGGAGGACAGGTCTGCCAGGGTGTCCGTGGGCTGCTGTCTCACCGGTGGCTTCGTAGTCGCGGAGAGCAGAACCCGGCAGCTTCAGGGGCAGCCTGGGGGTGGGTGTTACCTGCTGTATGTCTGTGTGCGTCTTGGTTGTGTGTGTGTGTGTGTGTGTGTGTGTTTGTGTGTGTGCGTGCGCGCGTCTGTGTGCCTTCTATCTCTTACGTCTCTCTCTCTCTCTCCCCCCTCTCGCTCTTTCCGCCGCCCTCTCTTTCTATCTCTGTCCGTCTGTGTGTGCTTGTGCCTCGGGACACATGTGCCCCGTGCGCCGGAGGGTGGGTTTCTTGCAGGTCGGCCTTTCTTCTGGTCAGCCTCTCCCCGCGTCACTGCCTGGGTCGTGTGGCCGGTTGGCAGTCGGTTTCCCGGCAGTTCCGGTTTGGGGGTCTGTGAAGGCCTCCGCAACGCGGGCATCTGCGTCGGAACCGCAGGGGTTTTCGTCCCCTCCCCATCCGGAGCAGCCTCTTTGCTAGGCTAGACCCAGACGACCGCTCCCCATGCAAGGACAACGGCCTCCCAGGCGCTCATTGTCCACCCGCAGGAGGGTGCCCGCAGACCTTCAAGAAGATGGTTCTCACGCCTCTCGCCCTCTCCCTCATGGAGAAATGGAGCCACAGCTCGACGCAGGGATGGAGAAGGAAGCCGGCAAGGGGATGGGGCAAGCATCTCTGTCACTCAAAGGCTGGCCTTCCTGGCCGAGTCACCCGTCTGACACTCCTCCCCGGATGCCCGTGGTGGTGGCATGGCCCCGTATCCTGCCTGGGCTCTGGCCTCTGCTCTGTCCTCCCTCTTGCTGTGTCTGCCCCGTCTCTGAGAAGCCTGGCGGCTTCTTAGTCTGGCTCAACGTCTTCAACAAAGAAGACTTCCCAGTCCATCAGGGAGAAACCCCGTGGGCGTCCGTGTCATGATCGTTTCCCTCTCCACACCTCTTTCTGGATGGTTGGGCAGGTGTGGTGATCCCGGAGCTGTGGGCTTCCATACCTGTGTGGGACAGGGAAGCTCTCTTGGTCTCCATGGCCCAAGTGATGGCTGCGCGCTCGGTCCAGGAAGAGGGGGAGGCAAGCCCACCGTTCCCCACATTGGCCTTCCAGGAAAGGCGGTGTTGCATCCCACCTGCACTTCCTGTCTGATCCTTGAGGGCCAACCGGTTCCTCCGCTCCTGGGGAAAGCGCCTTCTGGCACGGAATCTTTTGGCTGCCACGGATGTCAGGGAGCCAACGGGACTGGGTTTTGGCTGGGTGCAGGGGAGGTTGCGTCAGGGGTACCTAAGCGGTAGCGGCGTGGGGGTGGGGTGTACTTGGTCCAAAGCTCTGGGCTCCTCTGGCGGGCCTCCCTGAATGTGGCCTGGACTCGCGCGCAGGCCCTGTCTCGCAGGTTTGCAGGTGCGCTTGGCTTTTCCTCCGCTTTGTGGGGCAGGTCTGCAGTGGCCCCCCGGGCGCACGCCTGGACATCACTGTCCGTCTCGTCGTCGTCCCTTACGGCCTGAAAGACACACGCTCACTGCATGGGCTCTTGGGGGACTTTAGTGCCACGTTTGGTCACACGGGCTCCAGCTCGGACTCGCCTCTGTCTGTCTTTGCCGGTGTCGCCGGTGTCGCCGGAAGGCGCGTCGGGATGCCGGAGCCCCCGGGCCTTGGAGATGAAGGCAGGCCCCTGCTCTATCCAGGAAGGAGGGAGGCAGTGGGCTCATGGGTCAGTGCTGTTGCAGACGACAGCACGCCTTGCGGCCCTGGGGATCTTTCTGTGCCCCGGCGAGACCCTTTTCGCCTCACTGTATTGTAACCCCATTCCCGATCAGCCGGTGGGAGCCATCATCGGATCCCAAGAGGAGTCCGCGCAGCCCAGCCAGCACCCCGAAGGTCCTCCTTCACCGGGAACCAAAGCAGGAGACCGATCAAGGAGGTCCTGACGACAGGACTCCTATGGGTCCGACCCTGGGTCTCCCGCAGGCCCCTCTGGTAGTCCTCTTCCCACCCGCCGCCTCGGGCTGCGCCGAAGCCGCCGCCGCCGCAACCTCCAGCACCGCCGCCCCAGTCCCGGCAGCCGCGTCACCGCCATTTTTTAAAGGGTCCGCAGCCTGACTCTGCTGAGTAAGGGGGGGTGGGGCGGGTGAGTCGGCCTCGCCAGTGCGCATGCGCGAGCCCCGAGCCGCCGCTTTGGTCACAGTGACCGCCACCGTTGCCCGGGGATGGGTCCCTGAGACTTGGCGAAGTAGGAGCCCTGTGTGATCGTGCGTCAGAATCGGGGCTAAGACCAGTCCTGGCCAGGGCAGTTACCAGGTTGGTCTCCGGAGGCCGGGATTCGCGGAGGGTCCACCAGCAGGAAGAAACGCCAGGAGGAAGAAACCTCAGACAGATCGCCGGGGACGCAGCGCGGGATCCTAGCCTCAGGCGTGCGCGGACGGTGTGCGGGTGAGTCTCCCCAAAAGTAGCGCCCTTGTGATGTGGAGGACAGGTCTGCCAGGGTGTCCGTGGGCTGCTGTCTCACCGGTGGCTTCGTAGTCGCGGAGAGCAGAACCCAGCAGCTTCAGGGGCAGCCTGGGGGTGGGTGTTACCTGCTGTATGTCTGTGTGCGTCTTGGTTGTGTGTGTGTGTGTGTGTGTCTGTGTGTCTGTGTGTGTCTGTGTGCGTGCGTGCGTGAGTCTGTGTGCCCAGTTCTATCTCTTACGTCTCTCTCTCTCTCTCTCCCCCCCCTCGCTCTTTCCATCGCCCTCTCTTTCTATCTCTGTCCGTCTGTGTGTGCTTGTGCCTCGGGACACATGTGCCCCGTGCGCCGGAGGGTGGGTTTCTTGCAGGTCGGCCTTTCTTCTGGTCAGCCTCTCCCCGTGTCTCTGCCTGGGTCGTGTGGCCGGTTGGCAGTCGGTTTCCCGGCGGTTCCGGTTTGGGGGTCTGTGAAGGCCTGCGCAACGCGGGCATCTGCCTCGGAACCGCAGGGGTTTTCGTCCCCTCCCCATCCGGAGCAGCCTCTTTGCTAGGCTAGATCCAGACGACCGCTCCCCAAGCAAGGACAACGGCCTCCCAGGCGCTCATTGTCCAATCGCAGGAGGGTGCCCGCAGACCTTCAAGAAGATGGTTCTCACGCCTCTCCCCCTCTCCCTCAGGGAGAAATGGAGCCACAGCTCGACGCAGGGACGGAGAAGGAAGCCGGCAAGGGGATGGGGCAAGCATCTCTGTCACTCAAAGGCTGGCCTTCCTGGCCGAGTCACCCGTCTGACACTCCTCCCCGGATGCCCGTGGTGGTGGCATGGCCCCGTATCCTGCCTGGGCTCTGGCCTCTGCTCTGTCCTCCCTCTTGCTGTGTCTGCCCCGTCTCTGCGAAGCCTGGCGGCTTCTTAGTCTGGCTCAACGTCTTCAACAAAGAAGACTTCCCAGTCCATCAGGGAGAAACCCCGTGGGCGTCCGTGTCATGATCGTTTCCCTCTCCACACCTCTTTCTGGATGATTGGGCAGGTGTGGTCATCCTGGAGCTCTGGGCTTCCATACCTGTGTGGGACAGGGAAGCTCTCTTGGTCTCCATGGCCCAAGTGATGGCTGCGCGCTCGGTCCAGGAAGAGGGGGAGGCAAGCCCACCGTTCCCCACATTGGCCTTCCAGGAAAGGCGGTGTTGCATCCCACCTGCACTTCCTGTCTGATCCTTGAGGGCCAACCGGTTCCTCCGCTCCTGGGGAAAGCGCCTTCTGGCACTGAATCTTTTGGCTGCCACGGATGACAGGGAGCCAACGGGACTGGGTTTTGGCTGGGTGCAGGGGAGGTTGCGTCAGGGGTACCTAAGCGGTAGCGGCGTGGGGGTGGGGTGTACTTGGTCCAAAGCTCTAGGCTCCTCTGGCGGGCCTCCCTGAATGTGGCCTGGACTCGCGCACAGGCCCTGTCTCGCAGGTTTGCAGGTGCGCTTGGCTTTTCCTCCGCTTTGTGGGGCAGGTCTCCAGTGGCCCCCGGGCGCACGCCTGGACATCACTGTCCGTCTCGTCGTCGCCCCCTACGGCCTCAAAGACACACGCTCACTGCATGTGCTCTTGGGGGACGTCAGTGCCACGTTTGGTCACACGGGCTGCAGCTAGGACTCGCCTCTGTCTGTCTTTGCCGGTGTCGCCGGAAGCTGCGTCGGGATGCCGGAGCCCCCGGGCGTCGGAGATGAAGGCAGGCCCCTGCTCCACCCAGGAAGGAGGGAGGCAGTGGGCTCATGGGTCAGTGCCATTGCAGACGACAGCACGCCTTGCGGCCCTGGGGATCTTTCCGTGCCCCGGCGAGACCCTTTCCGCCTCACTGCATTGTAACCCCATTCCCGATCAGCCGGTGGGAGCCATCAACGGATCCCAAGAGGAGTCCGCGCAGCCCAGCCAGCACCCCGAAGGTCCTCCTTCACCGGCAACAGAAGCAGGAGACCGATCAAGGAGGTCCTGACGACAGGACTCCTATGGGTCCGACCCTGGGTCTCCCGCAGGCCCTTCTGGTAGTCCTCTTCCCACCCGCCGCCTCGGGCTGCGTCGCAGCCTTCGCCGCCGCAACCTCCAGCACCGCCGCCCCAGTCCCCGCAGTCGCCGCGTCGCCGCCATTTTTTAAAGGGTCCGCAGCCTGACTCTGCTGAGTAAGGAGGGGTGGGGCGGGTGAGTCGGCCTCGCCAGTGCGCATGCGCGAGGCCCCAGCCGCCGCTTTGGTCACAGTGACCGCCACCGTTGCCCGGGGATGGGTCCCTGAGTCTTGGCGAAGTAGGAGCCCTGTGTGATCGTGCGTCAGAGTCGGGGCTGAGACCAGTCCTAGCCAGGGCAGTTACCAGGACGGTGTCCGGAGGCCGGGATTCGCGGAGGGTCCACCACCAGGAAGAAACGCCAGAAGGAAGAAACCTCAGACAGATCGCCGGGGACGCAGCGCGGGATCCCAGCCTCAGGCGTGTGCGGACGGTGTGCGGGTGAGTCTCCCCAAAAGTGGCGCCCTTGTGATGTGGAGGACAGGTCTGCCAGGGTGTCCGTGGGCTGCTGTCTCACCGGTGGCTTCGTAGTCGCGGAGAGCAGAACCCGGCAGCTTCAGGGGCAGCCTGGGGGTGGGTGTTACCTGCTGTATGTCTGTGTGCGTCTTGGTTGTATGTGTGTGTGTGTGTGTGTGTTTCTGTGTGTGTCTGTGTGCGTTCGTGCGCGCGTCTGTGTGCCCACTTCTATCTCTTACGTCTCTCTCTCTCTCTCCGCCCCCCTCGCTCTTTCCGTCGCCCTCTCTTTCTATCTCTGTCCGTCTGTGTGTGCTTGTGCCTCGGGACACATGTGCCCCGTGCGCCGGAGGGTGGGTTTCTTGCAGGTCGGCCTTTCTTCTGGTCAGCCTCTCCCCGCGTCACTGCCTGGGTCGTGTGGCCGGTTGGCAGTCGGTTTCCCGGCGGTTCCGGTTTGGGGGTCTGTGAAGACCTGAGCAACGTGGGCATCTGCGTAGGAACCGCAGGGGTTTTCGTCCCCTCCCCATCCGGAGCAGCCTCTTTGCTAGGCTAGATCCAGACGACCGCTCCCCAAGCAAGGACAACGGCCTCCCAGGCGCTCATTGTCCAACCGCAGGAGGGTGCCCGCAGACCTTCAAGAAGATGGTTCTCACGCCTGTCGCCCTCTCCCTCATGGAGAAATGGAGCCACAGCTCGACGCAGGGACGGAAAAAGAAGCCGGCAAGGGGATGGGGCAAGCATCTCTGTCACTCAAAGGCTGGCCTTCCTGGCCGAGTCACCCGTCTGACACTCCTCCCCGGATGCCCGTGGTGGTGGCATGGCCCCGTATCCTGCCTGGGCTCTGGCCTCTGCTCTGTCCTCCCTCTTGCTGTGTCTGCCGCGTCTCTGCGAAGCCTGGCGGCTTAGTCTGGCTCAACGTCTTCAACAAAGAAGACTTCCCAGTCCATCAGGGAGAAACCCCGTGGGCGTCCGTGTCATGATCGTTTCCCTCTCCACACCTCTTTCTGGATGATTGGGCAGGTGTGGTGATCCTGGAGCTCTGAGCTTCCATACCTGTGTGGGACAGGGAAGCTCTCTTGGTCTCCATGGCCCAAGTGATGGCTCCGCGCTTGGTCCAGGAAGAGGGGGAGGCAAGCCCACCGTTCCCCACATTGGCCTTCCAGGAAAGGCGGTGTTGCATCCCACCTGCACTTCCTGTCTGATCCTTGAGGGCCAACCGGTTCCTCCGCTCCTGGGGAAAGCGCCTTCTGGCACTGAATCTTTTGGCTGCCACGGATGTCAGGGAGCCAACGGGACTGGGTTTTGGCTGGGTGCAGGGGAGGTTGCGTCAGGGGTACCTAAGCGGTAGCGGCGTGGGGGTGGGGTGTACTTGGTCCAAAGCTCTGGGCTCCTCTGGCGGGCCTCCCTGAATGTGGCCTGGACTCGCGCACAGGCCCTGTCTCGCAGGTTTGCAGGCGCGCTTGGCTTTTCCTCCGCTTTGTGGGGCAGGTCTCCAGTGGCCCCCGGGCGCACGCCTGGACATCACTGTCCGTCTCGTCGTCGCCCCCTACGGCCACAAAGACACACGCTCACTGCATGTGCTCTTGGGGGACGTCAGTGCCACGTTTGGTCACACGGGCTCCAGCTCGGACTCGCCTCTGTCTGACTTTGCAGGTGTCGCCGGAAGGTGCGTTGGGATGCCGGAGCCCCCGGGCCTTGGAGATGAAGGCAGGCCCCTGCTCCACCCAGGAAGGAGGGAGGCAGTGGACTCATGGGTCAGTGCCGTTGCAGACGACAGCACGCCTTGCGGCCCTGGGGATCTTTCCGTGCCCCGGCGAGACCCTTTCCGCCTCACTGCATAGTGACCTCATTCCCGATCAGCCGGTGGGAGCCATCATCGGATCCCAAGAGGAGTCCGCGCAGCCCAGCCAGCACCCCGAAGGTCCTCCTTCACCGGGAACAGAAGCAGGAGACCGATCAAGGAGGTCCTGACGACAGGACTCCTATGGGTCCGACCCTGGGTCTCCCGCAGGCCCCTCTGGTAGTCCTCTTCCCACCCGCCGCCTCGGGCTGCGCCGCAGCCGCCGCCGCCGCAACGTCCAGCACCGCCGCCCCAGTCCCCGCAGCCGCCGCGTCGCCGCCATTTTTTAAAGGGTCCGCAGTCTGACTCTGCTGAGTAAGGAGGGGTGGGGCGGGTGAGTCGGCCTCGCCAGTGCGCAAGCGCGAGGCCCCAGCCGCCGCTTTGGTCACAGTGACCGCCACCGTTGCCCGGGGATGGGTCCCTGAGACTTGGCGAAGTAGGAGCCCTGTGTGATCGTGCGTCAGAGTCGGGGCTCAGACCAGTCCTGGCCAGGGCAGTTACCAGGACGGTCTCCGGAGGCCGGGATTCGCGGAGGGTCAACCAGGAGGAAGAAACGCCAGAAGGAAGAAACCTCAGACAGATCGCCGGGGACGCAGCACGGGATCCCAGCCTCAGGCGTGCACGGACGGTGTGCGGGTGAGTCTCCCCAAAAGTAGCGCCCTTGTGATGTGGAGGACAGGTCTGCCAGGGTGTCCGTGGGCTGCTGTCTCACCGGTGGCCTCGTAGTCGCGGAGAGCAGAACCCGGCAGCTTCAGGGGCAGCCTGGGGGTGGGTGTTACCTGCTGTATGTCTGTGTGCGTCTTGGTTGTGTGTGTGTGTGTGTGTGTGTGTGTGTGTGTCTGTGTGCGTGCGTGCGTGGCGTCCGTGTGCCCACTTCTGTCTATCTCTTACGTCTCTCTCTCTCTCTCCCCGCCCTCGCTCTTTCCGTCGCCCTCTCTTTCTATCTCTGTCCGTCTGTGTGTGCTTGTGCCTCGGGACACATGTGCCCCGTGTGCCGGAGGGTGGGTTTCTTGCAGGTCGGCCTTTCTTCTGGTCAGCCTCTCCCCGCGTCTCTGCCTCGGTCGTGTAGCCGGTTAGCAGTCGGTTTCCCGGCGGTTCCGGTTTGGGGGTCTGTGAGGGCCTGGGCAATGCCGGCATCTGCTTCGGAACCGCAGGGGTTTTCGTCCCCTCCCCATCCGGAGCAGCCTCTTTGCTAGGCTAGATCCAGACGACCGCTCCCCAAGCAAGGACAACGGCCTCCCAGGCGCTCATTGTCCACCCGCAGGAGGGTGCCCGCAGACCTTCAAGAGGATGGTTCTCACGCCTCTCGCCCTCTCCCTCATGGAGAAATGGAGCCACAGCTCGACGCAGGGACGGAGAAGGAAGCCGGCAAGGGGATGGGGCAAGCATCTCTGTCACTCAAAGGCTGGCCTTCCTGGCCGAGTCACCCGTCTGACACTCCTCCCCGGATGCCCGTGGTGTTGCCATGGCCCCGTATCCTGCCTGGGCTCTGGCCTCTGCTCTGTCCTCCCTTTTGCTGTGTCTGCCCCGTCTCTGAGAAGCCTGGCGGCTTCTTAGTCTGGCTCAACGTCTTCAACAAAGAAGACTTCCCAGTCCAGGGAGAAACCCCGTGGGCGTCCGTGTCATGATCGTTTCCCTCTCGACACCTCTTTCTGCATGATTGGGCAGGTGTGGTGATCCTGGAGCTCTGGGCTTCCATACCTGTGTGGGACAGGGAAGCTCTCTTGGTCTCCATGGCCCAAGTGATGGCTGCGCGCTCGGTCCAGGAAGAGGGGGAGGCAAGCCCACCGTTCCCCACATTGGCCTTCCAGGAAAGGCGGTGTTGCAGCCCACCTGCACTTCCTGTCTGATCCTTGAGGGCCAACCGGTTCCTCCGCTCCTGGGGAAAGCGCCTTCTGGCACTGAATCTTTTGGCTGCCACGGATGTCAGGGAGCCAACGGGACTGGGTTTTGGCTGGGTGCAGCGGAGGTTGCGTCAGGGGTACCTAAGCGGTAGCGGCGTGGGGGTGGGGTGTACTTGGTCCAAAGCTCTGGGCTCCTCTGGCGGGCCTCCCTGAATGTGGCCTGGACTCGCGCACAGGCCCTGTCTCGCAGGTTTGCAGGTGCGCTTGGCTTTTCCTCCGCTTTGTGGGGCAGGTCTCCAGTGGCCCCCGGGCGCACGCCTGGACATCACTGTCCGTCTCGTCGTCGCCCCCTACGGCCTCAAAGACACACGCTCACTGCATGTGCTCTTGGGGGACGTCAGTGCCACGTTTGGTCACACGGGCTCCAGCTCGGACTCGCCTCTGTCTGCCTTTGCCGGTGTCGCCGGAAGCTGCGTCGGGATGCCGGAGCGCCCGGGCCTTGAAGATGAAGGCAGGCCCCTGCTCCACCCAGGAAGGAGGGAGGCAGTGGACTCATGGGTCCGTGCCGTTGCAGACGACAGCACGCCTTGCGGCCCTGGGGATCTTTCCTTGCCCCGGCGAGACCCTTTCCGCCTCACTGCATTGTAACCCCATTCCCGATCAGCCGGTGGGAGCCATCATCGGATCCCAAGAGGAGTCCGCGCAGCCCAGCCAGCACCCCGAAGATCCTCCTTCACCGGGAACAGAAGCAGGAGACCGATCAAGGAGGTCCTGACGACAGGACTCCTATGGGTCCGACCCTGGGTCTCCCGCAGGCCCCTCTGGTAGTCCTCTTCCCACCCGCCGCCTCGGGCTGCGCCGCAGCCGCCGCCGCCGCAACCTCCAGCACCGCCGCCCCAGTCCCCGCAGCCGCCGCGTCGCCGCCATTTTTTAAAGGGTCCGCAGCCTGACTCTGCTGAGTAAGGAGGGGTGGGGCGGGTGAGTCGGCCTCGCCAGTGCGCATGCGCGAGGCCCCAGCCGCCGCTTTGGTCACAGTGACCGCCACCGTTGCCCGGGGATGGGTCCCTGAGACTTGGCGAAGTAGGAGCCCTGTGTGATCGTGCGTCAGAGTCGGGGCTCAGACCAGTCGTGGCCAGGGCAGTTACCAGGACGGTCTCCGGAGGCCGGGATTCGCGGAGGGTCAACCAGGAGGAAGAAACGCCAGAAGGAAGAAACCTCAGACAGATCGCCGGGGACGCAGCGCGGGATTCCAGCCTCAGGCGTGCATGGACGGTGTGCGGGTGAGTCTCCCCAAAAGTGGCGCCCTTGTGATGTGGAGGACAGGTCTGCCAGGGTGTCCGTGGGCTGCTGTCTCACCGGTGGCCTCGTAGTCGCGGAGAGCAGAACCCGACAGCTTCAGGGGCAGCCTGGGGGTGGGTGTTACCTGCTGTATGTCTGTGTGCGTCTTGGTTGTGTGTGTGTGTGTGTGTTTGTGTGTGTGTGTGTGTCTGTGTGCGTGCGTGCGTGGCGTCCGTGTGCCCACTTCTGTCTATCTCTTACGTCTCTCTCTCTCTCTCCCCGCCCCCGCTCTTTCCGTCGCCCTCTCTTTCTATCTCTGTCCGTCTGTGTGTGCTTGTGCCTCGGGACACATGTGCCCCGTGTGCCGGACGGTGGGTTTCTTGCAGGTCGGCCTTTCTTCTGGTCAGCCTCTCCCCGCGTCTCTGCCTCGGTCGTGTAGCCGGTTAGCAGTCGGTTTCCCGGCGGTTCCGGTTTGGGGGTCTGTGAGGGCCTGGGCAATGCCGGCATCTGCTTCGGAACCGCAGGGGTTTTCGTCCCCTCCCCATCCGGAGCAGCCTCTTTCCTAGGCTAGATCCAGACGACCGCTCCCCAAGCAAGGACAACGGCCTCCCAGGCGCTCATTGTCCACCCGCAGGAGGGTGCCCGCAGACCTTCAAGAGGATGGTTCTCACGCCTCTCGCCCTCTCCCTCATGGAGAAATGGAGCCACAGCTCGACGCAGGGACGGAGAAGGAAGCCGGCAAGGGGATGGGGCAAGCATCTCTGTCACTCAAAGGCTGGCCTTCCTGGCCGAGTCACCCGTCTGACACTCCTCCCCGGATGCCCGTTGTGGTGGCATGGCCCCGTATCCTGCCTGGGCTCTGGCCTCTGCTCTGTCCTCCCTCTTGCTGTGTCTGCCCCGTCTCTGAGAAGCCTGGCGGCTTCTTAGTCTGGCTCAACGTCTTCAACAAAGAAGACTTCCCAGTCCATCAGGGAGAAACCCCGTGGGCGTCCGTGTCGTGATCGTTTCCCTCTCCACACCACTTTCTGGATGATTGGGCAGGTGTGGTGATCCTGGAGCTCTGGGCTTCCATACCTGTGTGGGACAGGGAAGCTCTCTTGGTCTCCATGGCCCAAGTGATGGCTGCGCGCTCGGTCCAGGAAGAGGGGGAGGCAAGCCCACCGTTCCCCACATTGGCCTTCCAGGAAAGGCGGTGTTGCAGCCCACCTGCACTTCCTGTCTGATCCTTGAGGGCCAACCGGTTCCTCCGCTCCTGGGGAAAGCGCCTTCTGGCACTGAATCTTTTGGCTGCCACGGATGTCAGGGAGCCAACGGGACTGGGTTTTGCCTGGGTGCAGCGGAGGTTGCGTCAGGGGTACCTAAGCGGTAGCGGCGTGGGGGTGGGGTGTACTTGGTCCAAAGCTCTCGGCTCCTCTGGCGGGCCTCCCTGAATGTGGCCTGGACTCGCGCACAGGCCCTGTCTCGCAGGTTTGCAGGTGCGCTTGGCTTTTCCTCCGCTTTGTGGGGCAGGTCTCCAGTGGCCCCCGGGCGCACGCCTGGACATCACTGTCCGTCCCGTCGTCGCCCCCTACGGCCTCAAAGACACACGCTCACTGCATGTGCTCTTGGGGGACGTCAGTGCCACGTTTGGTCACACGGGCTCCAGCTCGGACTCGCCTCTGTCTGCCTTTGCCGGTGTCGCCGGAAGCTGCGTCGGGATGCCGGAACGCCCGGTCCTTGAAGATGAAGGCAGGCCCCTGCTCCACCCAGGAAGGAGGGAGGCAGTGGACTCATGGGTCCGTGCCGTTGCAGACGACAGCACGCCTTGCGGCCCTGGGGATCTTTCCTTGCCCCGGCGAGACCCTTTCCGCCTCACTGCATTGTAACCCCATTCCCGATCAGCCGGTGGGAGCCATCATCGGATCCCAAGAGGAGTCCGCGCAGCCCAGCCAGCACCCCGAAGGTCCTCCTTCACCGGGAACAGAAGCAGGAGACCGATCAAGGAGGTCCTGACGACAGGACTCCTATGGGTCCGACCCTGGGTCTCCCGCAGGCCCCTCTGGTAGACCTCTTCCCACCCGCCGCCTCGGGCTGCGCCGCAGCCGCCGCCGCCGCAACCTCCAGCACCGCCGCCCCAGTCCCCGCAGCCGCCGCGTCGCCGCCATTTTTTAAAGGGTCCGCAGCCTGACTCTGCTGAGTAAGGAGGGGTGGGGCGGGTGAGTCGGCCTCGCCAGTGCGCATGCGCGAGGCCCCAGCCGCCGCTTTGGTCACAGTGACCGCCACCGTTGCCCGGGGATGGGTCCCTGAGACTTGGCGAAGTAGGAGCCCTGTGTGATTGTGCGTCAGAGTCGGGGCTCAGACCAGTCCTGGCCAGGGCAGTTACCAGGACGGTCTCCGGAGGCTGGGATTCGCGGAGGGTCCGCCAGGAGGAAGAAACCTCAGACAGATCGCCGGGGACGCAGCGCGGGATCCCAGCCTCAGGCGTGCACGGACGGTGTGCAGGTGAGTCTCCCCAAAAGTAGCGCCCTTGTGATGTGGAGGACAGGTCTGCCAGGGTGTCCGTGGGCTGCTGTCTCACCGGTGGCCTCGTAGTCGCGGAGAGCAGAACCCGGCAGCTTCAGGGGCAGCCTGGGGGTGGGTGTTACCTGCTGTATGTCTGTGTGCGTCTTGGTTGTGTGTGTGTGTGTGTGTGTGTGTGTGTGTGTGTGTGTGTGTGTGTCTGTGTGCGTGCGTGCGTGGCGTCCGTGTGCCCACTTCTGTCTATCTCTTACGTCTCTCTCTCTCTCTCCCCGCCCTCGCTCTTTCCGTCGCCCTCTCTTTCTATCTCTGTCCGTCTGTGTGTGCTTGTGCCTCGGGACACATGTGCCCCGTGTGCCGGAGGGTGGGTTTCTTGCAGGTCGGCCTTTCTTCTGGTCAGCCTCTCCCCGCGTCTCTGCCTCGGTCGTGTAGCCGGTTAGCAGTCGGTTTCCCGGCGGTTCCGGTTTGGCGGTCTGTGAGGGCCTGGGCAATGCCGGCATCTCCTTCGGAACCGCAGGGGTTTTCGTCCCCTCCCCATCCGGAGCAGCCTCTTTGCTAGGCTAGATCCAGACGACCGCTCCCCAAGCAAGGACAACGGCCTCCCAGGCGCTCATTGTCCACCCGCAGGAGGGTGCCCGCAGACCTTCAAGAGGATGGTTCTCACGCCTCTCGCCCTCTCCCTCATGGAGAAATGGAGCCACAGCTCGACGCAGGGACGGAGAAGGAAGCCGGCAAGGGGATGGGGCAAGCATCTCTGTCACTCAAAGGCTGGCCTTCCTGGCCGAGTCACCCGTCTGACACTCCTCCCCGGATGCCCGTGGTGGTGGCATGGCCCCGTATCCTTCCTGGGCTCTGGCCTCTGCTCTGTCCTCCCTTTTGCTGTGTCTGCCCCGTCTCTGAGAAGCATGGCGGCTTCTTAGTCTGGCTCAACGTCTTCAACAAAGAAGACTTCCCAGTCCAGGGAGAAACCCCGTGGGCGTCCGTGTCATGATCGTTTCCCTCTCGACACCTCTTTCTGCATGATTGGGCAGGTGTGGTGATCCTGGAGCTCTGGGCTTCCATACCTGTGTGGGACAGGGAAGCTCTCTTGGTCTCCATGGCCCAAGTGATGGCTGCGCGCTCAGTCCAGGAAGAGGGGGAGGCAAGCCCACCGTTCCCCACATTGGCCTTCCAGGAAAGGCGGTGTTGCATCCCACCTGCACTTCCTGTCTGATCCTTGAGGGCCAACCGGTCCCTCCGCTCCTGGGGAAAGCGCCTTCTGGCACTGAATCTTTTGGCTGCCACGGATGTCAGGGAGCCAACGGGACTGGGTTTTGGCTGGGTGCAGGGGAGGTTGCGTCAGGGGTACCTAAGCGGTAGCGGCGTGGGGGTGGGGTGTACTTGGTCCAAAGCTCTGGGCTCCTCTGGCGGGCCTCCCTGAATGTGGCCTGGACTCGCGCACAGGCCCTGTCTCGCAGGTTTGCAGGTGCGCTTGGCTTTTCCTCCGCTTTGTGGGGCAGGTCTCCAGTGGCCCCCGGGCGCACGCCTGGACATCACTGTCCATCTCGTCGTCGCCCCCTACGGCCTCAAAGACACACGCTCACTGCATGTGCTCTTGGGGGACGTCAGTGCCACGTTTGGTCACACGGGCTCCAGCTCGGACTCGCCTCTGTCTGTCTTTGCCGGTGTCGCCGGAAGCTGCGTTGGGATGCCTGAGCCACCGGGCCTTGGAGATGAAGGCAGGCCCCTGCTCCACCCAGGAAGGAGGGAGGCAGTGGGCTCATGGGTCAGTGCCGTTGCAGACGACAGCACGCCTTGCGGCCCTGGGGATCTTTCCGTGCCCCGGCGAGACCCTTTCCGCCTCACTGCATAGTGACCTCATTCCCGATCAGCCGGTGGGAGCCATCATCGGATCCCAAGAGGTGTCCGCGCAGCCCAGCCAGCACCCCGAAGGTCCTCCTTCACCGGGAACAGAAGCAGGAGACCGATCAAGGAGGTCCTGATGACAGGACTCCTATGGGTCCGACCCTGGGTCTCCCGCAGGCCCCTCTGGTAGTCCTCTTCCCACCCGCCGCCTCGGGCTGCGCCGCAACCGCCGCCGCAACCTCCAGCACCGCCGCCTCAGTCCCCGCAGCCGCCGCGTCGCCGCCATTTTTTAAAGGGTCCGCAGCCTGACTCTGCTGAGTAAGGAGGGGTGGGGCGGGTGAGTCGGCCTCGCCAGTGCGCATGCGCGAGGCCCCAGCCGCTGCTTTGGTCACAGTGACCGCCACCGTTGCCCGGGGATGGGTCCCTGAGACTTGGCGAAGTAGGAGCCCTGTGTGATCGTGCGTCAGAGTCGGGGCTCAGACCAGTCGTGGCCAGGGCAGTTACCAGGACGGTCTCCGGAGGCCGGGATTCGCGGAGGGTCAACCTGGAGGAAGAAACGCCAGAAGGAAGAAACTTCAGACAGATCGCCGGGGACGCAGCACGGGATCCCAGCCTCAGGCCTGCGGGGACGGTGTGCGGGTGAGTCTCCCCAATAGTGGCGCCCTTGTGATTTGGAGGACAGGTCTACCAGGGTGTCCGTGGGCTGCTGTCTCACCGGTGGCTTCGTAGTCTCGGAGAGCAGAACCCGGCAGCTTCAGGGGCAGCCTGGGGGTGGGTGTTACCTGCTGTATGTCTGTGTGCGTCTTGGTTGTGTGTGTTTGTGTGTGTGTGTGTGTGTGTGTGTGTGTGTGTGTCTGTGTGCGTGCGTGCGCGCGTCTGTGTGCCCACTTCTATCTCTTACGTCTCTCTCTCTCTCTCCCCGCCCCCGCTCTTTCCGTCGCCCTCTCTTTCTATCTCTGTCCGTCTGTGTGTGCTTGTGCCTCGGGACACATGTGCCCCGTGCGCCGGAGGGTGGGTTTCTTGCAGGTCGGCCTTTCTTCTGGTCAGCCCTCCCCGCGTCACTGCCTGGGTCGTGTGGCCGGATGGCAGTCGGTTTCCCGGCGGTTCCGGTTTGGGGGTCTGTGAAGGCCTGCGCAACGCAGGCATCTGCGTCGGAACCGCAGGGGTTTTCGTCCCCTCCCCATCCGGAGCAGCCTCTTTGCTAGGCTAGATCCAGACGACCGCTCCACAAGCAAGGACAACGGCCTCCCAGGCGCTCATTGTTCAACCGCAGGAGGGTGCCCGCAGACCTTCAAGAAGATGGTTCTCACGCCTCTCGCCCTCTCCCTCATGGAGAAATGGAGCCACAGCTCGACGCAGGGACGGAGAAGGAAGCCGGCAAGGGGATGGGGCAAGCATCTCTGTCACTCAAAAGCTGGCCTTCCTGGCCGAGTCACCCGTCTGACACTCCTCCCCGGATGCCCGTGGTGGTGGCATGGCCCCGTATCCTGCCTGGACTCTGGCCTCTGCTCTGTCCTCCCTCTTGCTGTGTCTGCCCCGTCTCTGCGAAGCCTGGCGGCTTCTTAGTCTGGCTCAACGTCTTCAACAAAGAAGACTTCCCAGTCCATCAGGGAGAAACCCCGTGGGCGTCCGTGTCGTGATCGTTTCCCTCTCCACACCTCTTTCTGGATGATTGGGCAGGTGTGGTGATCCTGGAGCTCTGGGCTTCCATACCTGTGTGGGACAGGGAAGCTCTCTTGGTCTCCATGGCCCAAGTGATGGCTGCGCGCTCGGTCCAGGAAGAGGGGGAGGCAAGCCCACCGTTCCCCACATTGGCCTTCCAGGAAAGGCGGTGTTGCAGCCCACCTGCACTTCCTGTCTGATCCTTGAGGGCCAACCGGTTCCTCCGCTCCTGGGGAAAGCGCCTTCTGGCACTGAATCTTTTGGCTGCCACGGATGTCAGGGAGCCAACGGGACTGGGTTTTTGCTGGGTGCAGCGGAGGTTGCGTCAGGGGTACCTAAGCGGTAGCGGCGTGGGGGTGGGGTGTACTTGGTCCAAACCTCTGGGCTCCTCTGGCGGGCCTCCCTGAATGTGGCCTGGACTCGCGCACAGGCCCTGTCTCGCAGGTTTGCAGGTGCGCTTGGCTTTTCCTCCGCTTTGTGGGGCAGGTCTCCAGTGGCCCCCGGGCGCACGCCTGGACATCACTGTCCGTCTCGTCGTCGCCCCCTACGGCCTCAAAGACACACGCTCACTGCATGTGCTCTTGGGGGACGTCAGTGCCACGTTTGGTCACACGGGCTCCAGCTCGGACTCGCCTCTGTCTGCCTTTGCCGGTGTCGCCGGAAGCTGCGTCGGGATGCCGGAGCGCCCGGGCCTTGAAGATGAAGGCAGGCCCCTGCTCCACCCAGGAAGGAGGGAGGCAGTGGACTCATGGGTCCGTGCCGTTGCAGACGACAGCACGCCTTGCGGCCCTGGGGATCTTTCCTTGCCCCGGCGAGACCCTTTCCGCCTCACTGCATTGTAACCCCATTCCCGATCAGCCGGTGGGAGCCATCATCGGATCCCAAGAGGAGTCCGCGCAGCCCAGCCAGCACCCCGAAGGTCCTCCTTCACCGGGAACAGAAGCAGGAGACCGATCAAGGAGGTCCTGACGACAGGACTCCTATGGGTCCGACCCTGGGTCTCCCGCAGGCCCCTCTGGTAGACCTCTTCCCACCCGCCGCCTCGGGCTGCGCCGCAGCCGCCGCCGCCGCAACCTCCAGCACCGCCTCCCCAGTCCCCGCAGCCGCCGCGTCGCCGCCATTTTTTAAAGGGTCCGCAGCCTGACTCTGCTGAGTAAGGAGGGGTGGGGCGGGTGAGTCGGCCTCGCCAGTGCGCATGCGCGAGGCCCCAGCCGCCGCTTTGGTCACAGTGACCGCCACCGTTGCCCGGGGATGGGTCCCTGAGACTTGGCGAAGTAGGAGCCCTGTGTGATTGTGCGTCAGAGTCGGGGCTCAGACCAGTCCTGGCCAGGGCAGTTACCAGGACGGTCTCCGGAGGCTGGGATTCGCGGAGGGTCCGCCAGGAGGAAGAAACCTCAGACAGATCGCCGGGGACGCAGCACGGGATCCCAGCCTCAGGCGTGCACGGACGGTGTGCGGGTGAGTCTCCCCAAAAGTAGCGCCCTTTTGATGTGGAGGACAGGTCTGCCAGGGTGTCCGTGGGCTGCTGTCTCACCGGTGGCTTCGTAGTCGCGGAGAGCAGAACCCGGCAGCTTCAGGGGCAGCCTGGGGGTGGGTGTTACCTGCTGTATGTCTGTGTGCGTCTTGGTTGTGTGTGTGTGTGTGTGTGTGTGTGTGTGTCTGTGTGCGTGCGTGCGTGGCGTCCGTGTGCCCACTTCTGTCTATCTCTTACGTCTCTCTCTCTCTCTCCCCGCCCCCGCTCTTTCCGTCGCCCTCTCTTTCTATCTCTGTCCGTCTGTGTGTGCTTGTGCCTCGGGACACATGTGCCCCGTGTGCCGGAGGGTGGGTTTCTTGCAGGTCGGCCTTTCTTCTGGTCAGCCTCTCCCCGCGTCTCTGCCTCGGTCGTGTAGCCGGTTAGCAGTCGGTTTCCCGGCGGTTCCGGTTTGGGGGTCTGGGAGGGCCTGGGCAATGCCGGCATCTGCTTCGGAACCGCAGGGGTTTTCGTCCCCTCCCCATCCGGAGCAGCCTCTTTGCTAGGCTAGATCCAGACGACCGCTCCCCAAGCAAGGACAACGGCCTCCCAGGCGCTCATTGTCCACCCGCAGGAGGGTGCCCGCAGACCTTCAAGAAGATGGTTCTCACGCCTCTCGCCCTCTCCCTCATGGAGAAATGGAGCCACAGCTCGACGCAGGGACGGAGAAGGAAGCCGGCAAGGGGATGGGGCAAGCATCTCTGTCACTCAAAGGCTGGCCTTCCTGGCCGAGTCACCCGTCTGACACTCCTCCCCGGATGCCCGTTGTGGTGGCATGGCCCCGTATCCTGCCTGGGCTCTGGCCTCTGCTCTGTCCTCCCTCTTGCTGTGTCTGCCCCGTCTCTGAGAAGCCTGGCGGCTTCTTAGTCTGGCTCAACGTCTTCAACAAAGAAGACTTCCCAGTCCATCAGGGAGAAACCCCGTGGGCGTCCGTGTCGTGATCGTTTCCCTCTCGACACCTCTTTCTGGATGATTGGGCAGGTGTGGTGATCCTGGAGCTCTGGGCTTCCATACCTGTGTGGGACAGGGAAGCTCTCTTGGTCTCCATGGCCCAAGTGATGGCTGCGCGCTCGGTCCAGGAAGAGGGGGAGGCAAGCCCACCGTTCCCCACATTGGCCTTCCAGGAAAGGCGGTATTGCAGCCCACCTGCACTTCCTGTCTGATACTTGAGGGCCAACCGGTTCCTCCGCTCCTGGGGAAAGCGCCTTCTGGCACTGAATCTTTTGGCTGCCACGGATGTCAGGGAGCCAACGGGACTGGGTTTTGGCTGGGTGCAGCGGAGGTTGCGTCAGGGGTACCTAAGCGGTAGCGGCGTGGGGGTGGGGTGTACTTGGTCCAAAGCTCTGGGCTCCTCTGGCGGGCCTCCCTGAATGTGGCCTGGACTCGCGCACAGGCCCTGTCTCGCAGGTTTGCAGGTGCGCTTGGCTTTTCCTCCGCTTTGTGGGGCAGGTCTCCAGTGGCCCCCGGGCGCACGCCTGGACATCACTGTCCGTCTCGTCGTCGCCCCCTATGGCCTCAAAGACACACGCTCACTGCATGTGCTCTTGGGGGACGTCAGTGCCACGTTTGGTCACACGGGCTCCAGCTCGGACTCGCCTCTGTCTGCCTTTGCCGGTGTCGCCAGAAGCTGCGTCGGGATGCCGGAGCGCCCGGGCCTTGAAGATGAAGGCAGGCCCCTGCTCCACCCAGGAAGGAGGGAGGCAGTGGACTCATGGGTCCGTGCCGTTGCAGACGACAGCACGCCTTGCGGCCCTGGGGATCTTTCCTTGCCCCGGCGAGACCCTTTCCGCCTCACTGCATTGTAACCCCATTCCCGATCAGCCGGTGGGAGCCATCATCGGATCCCAAGAGGAGTCCGCGCAGCCCAGCCAGCACCCCGAAGGTCCTCCTTCACCGGGAACAGAATCAGGAGACCGATCAAGGAGGTCCTGACGACAGGACTCCTATGGGTCCGACCCTGGGTCTCCCGCAGGCCCCTCTGGTAGACCTCTTCCCACCCGCCGCCTCGGGCTGCGCCGCAGCCGCCGCCGCCGCAACCTCCAGCACCGCCGCCCCAGTCCCCGCAGCCGCCGCGTCACCGCCATTTTTTAAAGGGTCCGCAGCCTGACTCTGCTGAGTAAGGAGGGGTGGGGCGGGTGAGTCGGCCTCGCCAGTGCGCATGCGCGAGGCCCCAGCCGCCGCTTTGGTCACAGTGACCGCCACCGTTGCCCGGGGATGGGTCCCTGAGACTTGGCGAAGTAGGAGCCCTGTGTGATTGTGCGTCAGAGTTGGGGCTGAGACCAGTCCTGGCCAGGGCAGTTACCAGGACGGTCTCCGGAGGCTGGGATTCGCGGAGGGTCCGCCAGGAGGAAGAAACCTCAGACAGATCGCCGGGGACGCAGCGCGGGATCCCAGCCTCAGGCGTGCACGGACGGTGTGCGGGTGAGTCTCCCCAAAAGTAGCGCCCTTGTGATGTGGAGGACAGGTCTGCCAGGGTGTCCGTGGGCTGCTGTCTCACCGGTGGCCTCGTAGTCGCGGAGAGCAGAACCCGGCAGCTTCAGGGGCAGCCTGGGGGTGGGTGTTACCTGCTGTATGTCTGTGTGCGTCTTGGTTGTGTGTGTGTGTGTGTGTGTGTGTGTGTCTGTGTGCGTGCGTGCGTGGCGTCCGTGTGCCCACTTCTGTCTATCTCTTACGTCTCTCTCTCTCTCTCCCCGCCCTCGCTCTTTCCGTCGCCCTCTCTTTCTATCTCTGTCCGTCTGTGTGTGCTTGTGCCTCGGGACACATGTGCCCCGTGTGCCGGAGGGTGGGTTTCTTGCAGGTCGGCCTTTCTTCTGGTCAGCCTCTCCCCGCGTCTCTGCCTCGGTCGTGTAGCCGGTTAGCAGTCGGTTTCCCGGCGGTTCCGGTTTGGGGGTCTGTGAGGGCCTGGGCAATGCCGGCATCTGCTTCGGAACCGCAGGGGTTTTCGTCCCCTCCCCATCCGGAGCAGCCTCTTTGCTAGGCTAGATCCAGAGGACCGCTCCCCAAGCAAGGACAACGGCCTCCCAGGCGCTCATTGTCCACCCGCAGGAGGGTGCCCGCTGACCTTCAAGAGGATGGTTCTCACGCCTCTCGCCCTCTCCCTCATGGAGAAATGGAGCCACAGCTCGACGCAGGGACGGAGAAGGAAGCCGGCAAGGGGATGGGGCAAGCATCTCTGTCACTCAAAGGCTGGCCTTCCTGGCCGAGTCACCCGTCTGACACTCCTCCCCGGATGCCCGTGGTGGTGGCATGGCCCCATATCCTGCCTGGGCTCTGGCCTCTGCTCTGTCCTCCCTTTTCCTGTGTCTCCCCCGTCTCTGAGAAGCATGGAGGCTTCTTAGTCTGGCTCAACGTCTTCAACAAAGAAGACTTCCCAGTCCAGGGACAAACCCCGTGGGCGTCCGTGTCATGATCGTTTCCCTCTCGACACCTCTTTCTGCATGATTGGGCAGGTGTGGTGATCCTGGAGCTCTGGGCTTCCATACCTGTGTGGGACAGGGAAGCTCTCTTGGTCTCCATGGCCCAAGTGATGGCTGCGCGCTCAGTCCAGGAAGAGGGGGAGGCAAGCCCACCGTTCCCCACATTGGCCTTCCAGGAAAGGCGGTGTTGCATCCCACCTGCACTTCCTGTCTGATCCTTGAGGGCCAACCGGTCCCTCCGCTCCTGGGGAAAGCGCCTTCTAGCACTGAATCTTTTGGCTGCCACGGATGTCAGGGAGCCAACGGGACTGGGTTTTGGCTGGGTGCAGGGGAGGTTGCGTCAGGGGTACCTAAGCGGTAGCGGCGTGGGGGTGGGGTGTACTTGGTCCAAAGCTCTGGGCTCCTCTGGCGGGCCTCCCTGAATGTGGCCTGGACTCGCGCACTGGCCCTGTCTCGCAGGTTTGCAGGTGCGCTTGGCTTTTCCTCCGCTTTGTGGGGCAGGTCTCCAGTGGCCCCCGGGCGCACGCCTGGACATCACTGTCCATCTCGTCGTCGCCCCCTACGGCCTCAAAGACACACGCTCACTGCATGTGCTCTTGGGGGACGTCAGTGCCACGTTTGGTCACACGGGCTCCAGCTCGGACTCGCCTCTGTCTGTCTTTGCCGGTGTCGCCGGAAGCTGCGTTGGGATGCCGGAGCCCCCGGGCCTTGGAGATGAAGGCAGGTCCCTGCTCCCCCCAGGAAGGACGGAGGCAGTGGGCTCATGGGTCAGTGCGGTTGCAGACGACAGCACGCCTTGCGGCCCTGGGGATCTTTCCGTGCCCCGGCGAGACCCTTTCCGCCTCACTGCATAGTGACCTCATTCCCGATCAGCCGGTGGGAGCCATCATCGGATCCCAAGAGGTGTCCGCGCAGCCCAGCCAGCACCCCGAAGGTCCTCCTTCACCGGGAACAGAAGCAGGAGACCGATCAAGGAGGTCCTGACGACAGGACTCCTATGGGTCCGACCCTGGGTCTCCCGCAGGCCCCTCTGGTAGTCCTCTTCCCACCCGCCGCCTCGGGCTGCGCCGCAGCCGCCGCCGCCGCAACCTCCAGCACCGCCGCCCCAGTCCCCGCAGCCGCCGCGTCGCCGCCATTTTTTAAAGGGTCCGCAGCCTGACTCTGCTGAGTAAGGAGGGGTGGGGCGGGTGAGTCGGCCTCGCCAGTGCGCATGCGCGAGGCCCCAGCCGCCGCTTTGGTCACAGTGACCGCCACCGTTGCTCGGGGATGGGTCCCTGAGACTTGGCGAAGTAGGAGCCCTGTGTGATCGTGCGTCAGAGTCGGGGCTCAGACCAGTCGTGGCCAGGGCAGTTACCAGGACGGTCTCCGGAGGCCGGGATTCGCGGAGGGTCAACCAGGAGGAAGAAACGCCAGAAGGAAGAAACCTGAGACAGATCGCCGGGGACGCAGCACGGGATCCCAGCCTGAGGCGTGCGGGGACGGTGTGCGGGTGAGTCTCCCCAATAGTGGCGCCCTTGTGATGTGGAGGACAGGTCTACCAGGGTGTCCGTGGGCTGCTGTCTCACCGGTGGCTTCGTAGTCTCGGAGAGCAGAACCCGGCAGCTTCAGGGGCAGCCTGGGGGTGGGTGTTACCTGCTGTATGTCTGTGTGCGTCTTGGTTGTGTGTGTTTGTGTGTGTGTGTGTGTGTGTGTGTGTGTGTCTGTGTGCGTGCGTGCGCGCGTCTGTGTGCCCACTTCTATCTCTTACGTCTCTCTCTCTCTCTCCCCCCCCCCCGCTCTTTCCGTCGCCCTCTCTTTGTATCTCTGTCCGTCTGTGTGTGCTTGTGCCTCGGGACACATGTGCCCCGTGCGCCGGAGGGTGGGTTTCTTGCAGGTCGGCCTTTCTTCTGGTCAGCCTCTCCCCGCGTCACTGCCTGGGTCGTGTGGCCGGATGGCAGTCGGTTTCCCGGCGGTTCCGGTTTGGGGGTCTGTGAAGGCCTGCGCAACGCGGGCATCTGCGTCGGAACCGCAGGGGTTTTCGTCCCCTCCCCATCCGGAGCAGCCTCTTTGCTAGGCTAGATCCAGACGACCGCTCCACAAGCAAGGACAACGGCCTCCCAGGCGCTCATTGTTCAACCGCAGGAGGGTGCCCGCAGACCTTCAAGAAGATGGTTCTCACGCCTCTCGCCCTCTCCCTCATGGAGAAATGGAGCCACAGCTCGACGCAGGGACGGAGAAGGAAGCCGGCAAGGGGATGGGGCAAGCATCTCTGTCACTCAAAAGCTGGCCTTCCTGACCGAGTCACCCGTCTGACACTCCTCCCCGGATGCCCGTGGTGGTGGCATGGCCCCGTATCCTGCCTGGACTCTGGCCTCTGCTCTGTCCTCCCTCTTGCTGTGTCTGCCCCGTCTCTGCGAAGCCTGGCGGCTTCTTAGTCTGGCTCAACGTCTTCAACAAAGAAGACTTCCCAGTCCATCAGGGAGAAACCCCGTGGGCGTCCGTGTCGTGATCGTTTCCCTCTCCACACCTCTTTCTGGATGATTGGGCAGGTGTGGTGATCCTGGAGCTCTGGGCTTCCATACCTGTGTGGGACAGGGAAGCTCTCTTGGTCTCCATGGCCCAAGTGATGGCTGCGCGCTCGGTCCAGGAAGAGGGGGAGGCAAGCCCACCGTTCCCCACATTGGCCTTCCAGGAAAGGCGGTGTTGCATCCCACCTGCACTTCCTGTCTGATCCTTGAGGGCCAACCGGTTCCTCCGCTCCTGGGGAAAGCGCCTTCTGGCACTGAATCTTTTGGCTGCCACGGATGTCAGGGAGCCAACGGGACTGGGTTTTGGCTGGGTGCAGGGGAGGTTGCGTCAGGGGTACCTAAGCGGTAGCGGCGTGGGGGTGGGGTGTACTTGGTCCAAAGCTCTGGGCTCCTCTGGCGGGCCTCCCTGAATGTGGCCTGGACTCGCGCACAGGCCCTGTCTCGCAGGTTTGCAGGTGCGCTTGGCTTTTCCTCCGCTTTGTGGGGCAGGTCTCCAGTGGCCCCCGGGCACACGCCTGGACATCACTGTCCGTCTCGTCGTCGCCCCCTACGGCCTCAAAGACACACGCTCTCTGCATGTGCTCTTGGGGGACGTCAGTGCCACGTTTGGTCACACGGGCTCCAGCTCGGACTCGCCTCTGTCTGCCTTTGCCGGTGTCGCCGGAAGCTGCGTCGGGATGCCGGAGCGCCCGGGCCTTGAAGATGAAGGCAGGCCCCTGCTCCACCCAGGAAGGAGGGAGGCAGTGGACTCATGGGTCCGTGCCGTTGCAGACGACAGCACGCCTTGCGGCCCTGGGGATCTTTCCTTGCCCCGGCGAGACCCTTTCCGCCTCACTGCATTGTAACCCCATTCCCGATCAGCCGGTGGGAGCCATCATCGGATCCCAAGAGGAGTCCGCGCAGCCCAGCCAGCACCCCGAAGGTCCTCCTTCACCGGGAACAGAAGCAGGAGACCGATCAAGGAGGTCCTGACGACAGGACTCCTATGGGTCCGACCCTGGGTCTCCCGCAGGCCCCTCTGGTAGACCTCTTCCCACCCGCCGCCTTGGGCTGCGACGCAGCCGCCGCCGCCGCAACCTCCAGCACCGCCGCCCCAGTCCCCGCAGCCGCCGCGTCGCCGCCATTTTTTAAAGGGTCCGCAGCCTGACTCTGCTGAGTAAGGAGGGGTGGGGTGGGTGAGTCGGCCTCGCCAGTGCGCATGCGCGAGGCCCCAGCCGCCGCTTTGGTCACAGTGACCGCCACCGTTGCCCGGGGATGGGTCCCTGAGAATTGGCGAAGTAGGAGCCCTTTGTGATTGTGCGTCAGAGTCGGGGCTGAGACCAGTCCTGGCCAGGGCAGTTACCAGGACGGTCTCCGGAGGCCGGGATTCGCGGAGGGTCCGCCAGGAGGAAGAAACCTCAGACAGATCGCCGGGGACGCAGCGCGGGATCCCAGCCTCAGGCGTGCACGGACGGTGTGCGGGTGAGTCTCCCCAAAAGTAGCGCCCTTGTGATGTGGAGGACAGGTCTGCCAGGGTGTCCGTGGGCTGCTGTCTCACCGGTGGCCTCGTAGTCGCGGAGAGCAGAACCCGGCAGCTTCAGGGGCAGCCTGGGGGTGGGTGTTACCTGCTGTATGTCTGTGTGCGTCTTGGTTGTGTGTGTGTGTGTGTGTGTGTGTGTGTGTGTCTGTGTGCGTGCGTGCGTGGCGTCCGTGTGCCCACTTCTGTCTATCTCTTACGTCTCTCTCTCTCTCTCCCCGCCCTCGCTCTTTCCGTCGCCCTCTCTTTCTATCTCTGTCCGTCTGTGTGTGCTTGTGCCTCGGGACACATGTGCCCCGTGTGCCGGAGGGTGGGTTTCTTGCAGGTCGGCCTTTCTTCTGGTCAGCCTCTCCCCGCGTCTCTGCCTCGGTCGTGTAGCCGGTTAGCAGTCGGTTTCCCGGCGGTTCCGGTTTGGGGGTCTGTGAGGGCCTGGGCAATGCCGGCATCTGCTTCGGAACCGCAGGGGTTTTCGTCCCCTCCCCATCCGGAGCAGCCTCTTTGCTAGGCTAGATCCAGACGACCGCTCCCCAAGCAAGGACAACGGCCTCCCAGGCGCTCATTGTCCACCCGCAGGAGGGTGCCCGCAGACCTTCAAGAGGATGGTTCTCACGCCTCTCGCCCTCTCCCTCATGGAGAAATGGAGCCACAGCTCGACGCAGGGACGGAGAAGGAAGCCGGCAAGGGGATGGGGCAAGCATCTCTGTCACTCAAAGGCTGGCCTTCCTGGCCGAGTCACCCGTCTGACACTCCTCCCCGGATGCCCGTGGTGGTGGCATGGCCCCGTATCCTGCCTGGGCTCTGGCCTCTGCTCTGTCCTCCCTTTTGCTGTGTCTGCCCCGTCTCTGAGAAGCATGGCGGCTTCTTAGTCTGGCTCAACGTCTTCAACAAAGAAGACTTCCCAGTCCAGGGACAAACCCCGTGGGCGTCCGTGTCATGATCGTTTCCCTCTCGACACCTCTTTCTGCATGATTGGGCAGGTGTGGTGATCCTGGAGCTCTGGGCTTCCATACCTGTGTGGGACAGGGAAGCTCTCTTGGTCTCCATGGCCCAAGTGATGGCTGCGCGCTCAGTCCAGGAAGAGGGGGAGGCAAGCCCACCGTTCCCCACATTGGCCTTCCAGGAAAGGCGGTGTTGCATCCCACCTGCACTTCCTGTCTGATCCTTGAGGGCCAACCGGTTCCTCCGCTCCTGGGGAAAGCGCCTTCTGGCACTGAATCTTTTGGCTGCCACGGATGTCAGGGAGCCAACGGGACTGGGTTTTGGCTGGGTGCAGGGGAGGTTGCGTAAGGGGTACCTAAGCGGTAGCGGCGTGGGGGTGGGGTGTACTTGGTCCAAAGCTCTGGGCTCCTCTGGCGGGCCTCCCTGAATGTGGCCTGGACTCGCGCACAGGCCCTGTCTCGCAGGTTTGCAGGTGCGCTTGGCTTTTCCTCCGCTTTGTGGGGCAGGTCTCCAGTGGCCCCCGGGCGCACGCCTGGACATCACTGTCCGTCTCGTCGTCGCCCCCTACGGCCTCAAAGACACACGCTCTCTGCATGTGCTCTTGGGGGACGTCAGTGCCACGTTTGGTCACACGGGCTCCAGCTCGGACTCGCCTCTGTCTGTCTTTGCCGGTGTCGCCGGAAGCTGCGTCGGGATGCCGGAGCCCCCGGGCTTTGGAGATGAAGGCAGGCCCCTGCTCCACCCAGGATGGAGGGAGGCAGTGGGCTCATGGGTCAGTGCCGTTGCAGACGACAGCAAGCCTTGCGGCCCTGGGGATCTTTCCGTGCCCCGGCGAGACCCTTTCCGCCTCACTGCATTGTAACCCCATTCCCGATCAGCCGGTGGGAGCCATCATCGGATCCCAAGAGGAGTCCGCGCAGCCCAGCCAGCACCCCGAAGGTCCTCCTTCACCGGGAACAGAAGCAGGAGACCGATCAAGGAGGTCCTGACGACAGGACTCCTATGGGTCCGACCCTGGGTCTCCCGCAGGCCCCTCTGGTAGACCTCTTCCCACCCGCCGCCTCGGGCTGCGCCGCAGCCGCCGCCGCCGCAACCTCCAGCACCACCACCCTAGTCCCCGCAGCCGCCGCGTCACCGCCATTTTTTAAAGGGTCCGCAGCCTGACTCTGCTGAGTAAGGAGGGGTGGGGCGGGTGAGTCGGCCTCGCCAGTGCGCATGCGCGAGGCCCCAGCCGCCGCTTTGGTCACAGTGACCGCCACCGTTGCCCGGGGATGGGTCCCTGAGAATTGGCGAAGTAGGAGCCCTTTGTGATTCTGCGTCAGAGTCGGGGCTGAGACCAGTCCTGGCCAGGGCAGTTACCAGGACGGTCTCCGGAGGCCGGGATTCGCGGAGGGTCCGCCAGGAGGAAGAAACCTCAGATAGATCGCCGGGGACGCAGCGCGGGATCCCAGCCTCAGGCGTGCACGGACGGTGTGCGGGTGAGTCTCCCCAAAAGTAGCGCCCTTGTGATGTGGAGGACAGGTCTGCCAGGGTGTCCGTGGGCTGCTGTCTCACCGGTGGCCTCGTAGTCGCGGAGAGCAGAACCCGGCAGCTTCAGGGGCAGCCTGGGGGTGGGTGTTACCTGCTGTATGTCTGTGTGCGTCTTGGTTGTGTGTGTGTGTGTGTGTGTGTGTGTGTGTGTGTGTGTGTCTGTGTGCGTGCGTGCGTGGCGTCCGTGTGCCCACTTCTGTCTATCTCTTACGTCTCTCTCTCTCTCTCCCCCCCCTCGCTCTTTCCGTCGCCCTCTCTTTCTATCTCTGTCCGTCTGTGTGTGCTTGTGCCTCGGGACACATGTGCCCCGTGTGCCGGAGGGTGGGTTTCTTGCAGGTCGGCCTTTCTTCTGGTCAGCCTCTCCCCGCGTCTCTGCCTCGGTCGTGTAGCCGGTTAGTAGTCGGTTTCCCGGCGGTTCCGGTTTGGGGGTCTGTGAGGGCCTGGGCAATGCCGGCATCTGCTTCGGAACCGCAGGGGTTTTCGTCCCCTCCCCATCCGGAGCAGCCTCTTTGCTAGGCTAGATCCAGACGACCGCTCCCCAAGCAAGGACAACGGCCTCCCAGGCGCTCATTGTCCACCCGCAGGAGGGTGCCCGCAGACCTTCAAGAGGATGGTTCTCACGCCTCTCGCCCTCTCCCTCATGGAGAAATGGAGCCACAGCTCGACGCAGGGACGGAGAAGGAAGCCGGCAAGGGGATGGGGCAAGCATCTCTGTCACTCAAAGGCTGGCCTTCCTGGCCGAGTCACCCGTCTGACACTCCTCCCCGGATGCCCGTGGTGGTGGCATGGCCCCGTATCCTGCCTGGACTCTGGCCTCTGCTCTGTCCTCCCTCTTGCTGTGTCTGCCCCGTCTCTGAGAAGCCTGGCGGCTTCTTAGTCTGGCTCAACGTCTTCAACAAAGAAGACTTCCCTGTCCATCAGGGAGAAACCCCGTGGGCGTCCGTGTCGTGATCGTTTCCCTCTCCACACCACTTTCTGGATGATTGGGCAGGTGTGGTGATCCTGGAGCTCTGGGCTTCCATACCTGTGTGGGACAGGGAAGCTCTCTTGGTCTCCATGGCCCAAGTGATGGCTGCGCGCTCGGTCCAGGAAGAGGGGGAGACAAGCCCACCGTTCCCCACATTGGCCTTCCAGGAAAGGCGGTGTTGCAGCCCACCTGCACTTCCTGTCTGATCCTTGAGGGCCAACCGGTTCCTCCGCTCCTGGGGAAAGCGCCTTCTGGCACTGAATCTTTTGGCTGCCACGGATGTCAGGGAGCCAACGGGACTGGGTTTTGGTTGGGTGCAGCGGAGGTTGCGTCAGGGGTACCTAAGCGGTAGCGGCGTGGGGGTGGGGTGTACTTGGTCCAAAGCTCTGGGCTCCTCTGGCGGGCCTCCCTGAATGTGGCCTGGACTCGCGCACAGGCCCTGTCTCGCAGGTTTGCAGGTGCGCTTGGCTTTTCCTCCGCTTTGTGGGGCAGGTCTCCAGTGGCCCCCGGGCGCACGCCTGGACATCACTGTCCGTCTCGTAGTCGCCCCCTACGGCCTCAAAGACACACGCTCACTGCATGTGCTCTTGGGGGACGTCAGTGCCACGTTTGGTCACACGGGCTCCAGCTCGGACTCGCCTCTGTCTGCCTTTGCCGGTGTCGCCGGAAGCTGCGTCGGGATGCCGGAGCGCCCGGGCCTTGAAGATGAAGGCAGGCCCCTGCTCCACCCAGGAAGGAGGGAGGCAGTGGACTCATGGGTCCGTGCCGTTGCAGACGACAGCACGCCTTGCGGCCCTGGGGATCTTTCCTTGCCCCGGCGAGACCCTTTCCGCCTCACTGCATTGTAACCCCATTCCCGATCAGCCGGTGGGAGCCATCATCGGATCCCAAGAGGAGTCCGCGCAGCCCAGCCAGCACCCCGAAGGTCCTCCTTCACCGGGAACAGAAGCAGGAGACCGATCAAGGAGGTCCTGACGACAGGACTCCTATGGGTCCGACCCTGGGTCTCCCGCAGGCCCCTCTGGTAGACCTCTTCCCACCCGCCGCCTTGGGCTGCGACGCAGCCGCCGCCGCCGCAACCTCCAGCACCGCCGCCCCAGTCCCCGCAGCCGCCGCGTCGCCGCCATTTTTTAAAGGGTCCGCAGCCTGACTCTGCTGAGTAAGGAGGGGTGGGGTGGGTGAGTCGGCCTCGCCAGTGCGCATGCGCGAGGCCCCAGCCGCCGCTTTGGTCACAGTGACCGCCACCGTTGCCCGGGGATGGGTCCCTGAGAATTGGCGAAGTAGGAGCCCTTTGTGATTGTGCGTCAGAGTCGGGGCTGAGACCAGTCCTGGCCAGGGCAGTTACCAGGACGGTCTCCGGAGGCCGGGATTCGCGGAGGGTCCGCCAGGAGGAAGAAACCTCAGACAGATCGCCGGGGACGCAGCGCGGGATCCCAGCCTCAGGCGTGCACGGACGGTGTGCGGGTGAGTCTCCCCAAAAGTAGCGCCCTTGTGATGTGGAGGACAGGTCTGCCAGGGTGTCCGTGGGCTGCTGTCTCACCGGTGGCCTCGTAGTCGCGGAGAGCAGAACCCGGCAGCTTCAGGGGCAGCCTGGGGGTGGGTGTTACCTGCTGTATGTCTGTGTGCGTCTTGGTTGTGTGTGTGTGTGTGTGTGTGTGTGTGTGTGTCTGTGTGCGTGCGTGCGTGGCGTCCGTGTGCCCACTTCTGTCTATCTCTTACGTCTCTCTCTCTCTCTCCCCGCCCTCGCTCTTTCCGTCGCCCTCTCTTTCTATCTCTGTCCGTCTGTGTGTGCTTGTGCCTCGGGACACATGTGCCCCGTGTGCCGGAGGGTGGGTTTCTTGCAGGTCGGCCTTTCTTCTGGTCAGCCTCTCCCCGCGTCTCTGCCTCGGTCGTGTAGCCGGTTAGCAGTCGGTTTCCCGGCGGTTCCGGTTTGGGGGTCTGTGAGGGCCTGGGCAATGCCGGCATCTGCTTCGGAACCGCAGGGGTTTTCGTCCCCTCCCCATCCGGAGCAGCCTCTTTGCTAGGCTAGATCCAGACGACCGCTCCCCAAGCAAGGACAACGGCCTCCCAGGCGCTCATTGTCCACCCGCAGGAGGGTGCCCGCAGACCTTCAAGAGGATGGTTCTCACGCCTCTCGCCCTCTCCCTCATGGAGAAATGGAGCCACAGCTCGACGCAGGGACGGAGAAGGAAGCCGGCAAGGGGATGGGGCAAGCATCTCTGTCACTCAAAGGCTGGCCTTCCTGGCCGAGTCACCCGTCTGACACTCCTCCCCGGATGCCCGTGGTGGTGGCATGGCCCCGTATCCTGCCTGGGCTCTGGCCTCTGCTCTGTCCTCCCTTTTGCTGTGTCTGCCCCGTCTCTGAGAAGCATGGCGGCTTCTTAGTCTGGCTCAACGTCTTCAACAAAGAAGACTTCCCAGTCCAGGGACAAACCCCGTGGGCGTCCGTGTCATGATCGTTTCCCTCTCGACACCTCTTTCTGCATGATTGGGCAGGTGTGGTGATCCTGGAGCTCTGGGCTTCCATACCTGTGTGGGACAGGGAAGCTCTCTTGGTCTCCATGGCCCAAGTGATGGCTGCGCGCTCAGTCCAGGAAGAGGGGGAGGCAAGCCCACCGTTCCCCACATTGGCCTTCCAGGAAAGGCGGTGTTGCATCCCACCTGCACTTCCTGTCTGATCCTTGAGGGCCAACCGGTTCCTCCGCTCCTGGGGAAAGCGCCTTCTGGCACTGAATCTTTTGGCTGCCACGGATGTCAGGGAGCCAACGGGACTGGGTTTTGGCTGGGTGCAGGGGAGGTTGCGTAAGGGGTACCTAAGCGGTAGCGGCGTGGGGGTGGGGTGTACTTGGTCCAAAGCTCTGGGCTCCTCTGGCGGGCCTCCCTGAATGTGGCCTGGACTCGCGCACAGGCCCTGTCTCGCAGGTTTGCAGGTGCGCTTGGCTTTTCCTCCGCTTTGTGGGGCAGGTCTCCAGTGGCCCCCGGGCGCACGCCTGGACATCACTGTCCGTCTCGTCGTCGCCCCCTACGGCCTCAAAGACACACGCTCTCTGCATGTGCTCTTGGGGGACGTCAGTGCCACGTTTGGTCACACGGGCTCCAGCTCGGACTCGCCTCTGTCTGTCTTTGCCGGTGTCGCCGGAAGCTGCGTCGGGATGCCGGAGCCCCCGGGCTTTGGAGATGAAGGCAGGCCCCTGCTCCACCCAGGATGGAGGGAGGCAGTGGGCTCATGGGTCAGTGCCGTTGCAGACGACAGCAAGCCTTGCGGCCCTGGGGATCTTTCCGTGCCCCGGCGAGACCCTTTCCGCCTCACTGCATTGTAACCCCATTCCCGATCAGCCGGTGGGAGCCATCATCGGATCCCAAGAGGAGTCCGCGCAGCCCAGCCAGCACCCCGAAGGTCCTCCTTCACCGGGAACAGAAGCAGGAGACCGATCAAGGAGGTCCTGACGACAGGACTCCTATGGGTCCGACCCTGGGTCTCCCGCAGGCCCCTCTGGTAGACCTCTTCCCACCCGCCGCCTCGGGCTGCGCCGCAGCCGCCGCCGCCGCAACCTCCAGCACCACCACCCTAGTCCCCGCAGCCGCCGCGTCACCGCCATTTTTTAAAGGGTCCGCAGCCTGACTCTGCTGAGTAAGGAGGGGTGGGGCGGGTGAGTCGGCCTCGCCAGTGCGCATGCGCGAGGCCCCAGCCGCCGCTTTGGTCACAGTGACCGCCACCGTTGCCCGGGGATGGGTCCCTGAGAATTGGCGAAGTAGGAGCCCTTTGTGATTCTGCGTCAGAGTCGGGGCTGAGACCAGTCCTGGCCAGGGCAGTTACCAGGACGGTCTCCGGAGGCCGGGATTCGCGGAGGGTCCGCCAGGAGGAAGAAACCTCAGATAGATCGCCGGGGACGCAGCGCGGGATCCCAGCCTCAGGCGTGCACGGACGGTGTGCGGGTGAGTCTCCCCAAAAGTAGCGCCCTTGTGATGTGGAGGACAGGTCTGCCAGGGTGTCCGTGGGCTGCTGTCTCACCGGTGGCCTCGTAGTCGCGGAGAGCAGAACCCGGCAGCTTCAGGGGCAGCCTGGGGGTGGGTGTTACCTGCTGTATGTCTGTGTGCGTCTTGGTTGTGTGTGTGTGTGTGTGTGTGTGTGTGTGTGTGTGTGTGTCTGTGTGCGTGCGTGCGTGGCGTCCGTGTGCCCACTTCTGTCTATCTCTTACGTCTCTCTCTCTCTCTCCCCCCCCTCGCTCTTTCCGTCGCCCTCTCTTTCTATCTCTGTCCGTCTGTGTGTGCTTGTGCCTCGGGACACATGTGCCCCGTGTGCCGGAGGGTGGGTTTCTTGCAGGTCGGCCTTTCTTCTGGTCAGCCTCTCCCCGCGTCTCTGCCTCGGTCGTGTAGCCGGTTAGTAGTCGGTTTCCCGGCGGTTCCGGTTTGGGGGTCTGTGAGGGCCTGGGCAATGCCGGCATCTGCTTCGGAACCGCAGGGGTTTTCGTCCCCTCCCCATCCGGAGCAGCCTCTTTGCTAGGCTAGATCCAGACGACCGCTCCCCAAGCAAGGACAACGGCCTCCCAGGCGCTCATTGTCCACCCGCAGGAGGGTGCCCGCAGACCTTCAAGAGGATGGTTCTCACGCCTCTCGCCCTCTCCCTCATGGAGAAATGGAGCCACAGCTCGACGCAGGGACGGAGAAGGAAGCCGGCAAGGGGATGGGGCAAGCATCTCTGTCACTCAAAGGCTGGCCTTCCTGGCCGAGTCACCCGTCTGACACTCCTCCCCGGATGCCCGTGGTGGTGGCATGGCCCCGTATCCTGCCTGGACTCTGGCCTCTGCTCTGTCCTCCCTCTTGCTGTGTCTGCCCCGTCTCTGAGAAGCCTGGCGGCTTCTTAGTCTGGCTCAACGTCTTCAACAAAGAAGACTTCCCTGTCCATCAGGGAGAAACCCCGTGGGCGTCCGTGTCGTGATCGTTTCCCTCTCCACACCACTTTCTGGATGATTGGGCAGGTGTGGTGATCCTGGAGCTCTGGGCTTCCATACCTGTGTGGGACAGGGAAGCTCTCTTGGTCTCCATGGCCCAAGTGATGGCTGCGCGCTCGGTCCAGGAAGAGGGGGAGACAAGCCCACCGTTCCCCACATTGGCCTTCCAGGAAAGGCGGTGTTGCAGCCCACCTGCACTTCCTGTCTGATCCTTGAGGGCCAACCGGTTCCTCCGCTCCTGGGGAAAGCGCCTTCTGGCACTGAATCTTTTGGCTGCCACGGATGTCAGGGAGCCAACGGGACTGGGTTTTGGCTGGGTGCAGCGGAGGTTGCGTCAGGGGTACCTAAGCGGTAGCGGCGTGGGGGTGGGGTGTACTTGGTCCAAAGCTCTGGGCTCCTCTGGCGGGCCTCCCTGAATGTGGCCTGGACTCGCGCACAGGCCCTGTCTCGCAGGTTTGCAGGTGCGCTTGGCTTTTCCTCCGCTTTGTGGGGCAGGTCTCCAGTGGCCCCCGGGCGCACGCCTGGACATCACTGTCCGTCTCGTAGTCGCCCCCTACGGCCTCAAAGACACACGCTCACTGCATGTGCTCTTGGGGGACGTCAGTGCCACGTTTGGTCACACGGGCTCCAGCTCGGACTCGCCTCTGTCTGCCTTTGCCGGTGTCGCCGGAAGCTGCGTCGGGATGCCGGAGCGCCCGGGCCTTGAAGATGAAGGCAGGCCCCTGCTCCACCCAGGAAGGAGGGAGGCAGTGGACTCATGGGTCCGTGCCGTTGCAGACGACAGCACGCCTTGCGGCCCTGGGGATCTTTCCTTGCCCCGGCGAGACCCTTTCCGCCTCACTGCATTGTAACCCCATTCCCGATCAGCCGGTGGGAGCCATCATCGGATCCCAAGAGGAGTCCGCGCAGCCCAGCCAGCACCCCGAAGGTCCTCCTTCACCGGGAACAGAATCAGGAGACCGATCAAGGAGGTCCTGACGACAGGACTCCTATGGGTCCGACCCTGGGTCTCCCGCAGGCCCCTCTGGTAGACCTCTTCCCACCCGCCGCCTCGGGCTGCGCCGCAGCCGCCGCCGCCGCAACCTCCAGCACCGCCGCCCCAGTCCCCGCAGCCGCCGCGTCACCGCCGTTTTTTAAAGGGTCCGCAGCCTGACTCTGCTGAGTAAGGAGGGGTGGGGCGGGTGAGTCGGCCTCGCCAGTGCGCATGCGCGAGGCCCCAGCCGCCGCTTTGGTCACAGTGACTGCCACCGTTGCCCGGGGATGGGTCCCTGAGAATTGGCGAAGTAGGAGCCCTGTGTGATTGTGCGTCAGAGTCGGGGCTGAGACCAGTCCTGGCCAGGGCAGTTACCAGGACGGTCTCCGGAGGCCGGGATTCGCGGAGGGTCCGCCAGGAGGAAGAAACCTCAGACAGATCGCCGGGGCCGCAGCGCGGGATTCCAGCCTCAGGCGTGCACGGACGGTGTGCGGGTGAGTCTCCCCAAAAGTGGCGCCCTTGTGATGTGGAGGACAGGTCTGCCAGGGTGTCCGTGGGCTGCTGTCTCACCGGTGGCCTCGTAGTCGCGGAGAGCAGAACCCGACAGCTTCAGGGGCAGCCTGGGGGTGGGTGTTACCTGCTGTATGTCTGTTTGCGTCTTGGTTGTGTGTGTGTGTGTGTGTGTGTTTGTGTGTGTGTGTGTGTCTGTGTGCGTGCGTGCGTGGCGTCCGTGTGCCCACTTCTGTCTATCTCTTGTCTCTCTCTCTCTCTCCCCCCCCCCTCGCTCTTTCCGTCGCCCTCTCTTTCTATCTCTGTCCGTCTGTGTGTGCTTGTGCCTCGGGACACATGTGCCTCGTGTGCCGGAGGGTGGGTTTCTTGCAGGTCGGCCTTTCTTCTGGTCAGCCTCTCCCCGCGTCTCTGCCTCGGTCGTGTGGCCGGTTAGCAGTCGGTTTCCCGGCGGTTCCGGTTTGGGGGTCTGTGAGGGCCTGGGCAACGCCGGCATCTGCTTCGGAACCGCAGGGGTTTTCGTCCCCTCCCCATCCGGAGCAGCCTCTTTGCTAGGCTAGATCCAGACGACCGCTCCCCAAGCAAGGACAACGGCCTCCCAGGCGCTCATTGTCCACCCGCAGGAGGGTGCCCGCAGACCTTCAAGAAGATGGTTCTCACGCCTCTCGCCCTCTCCCTCATGGAGAAATGGAGCCACAGATCGACGCAGGGACGGAGAAGGAAGCCGGCAAGGGGATGGGGCAAGCATCTCTGTCACTCAAAGGCTGGCCTTCCTGGCCGAGTCACCCGTCTGACACTCCTCTCCGGATGCCCGTGGTGGTGGCATGGCCCCGTATCCTGCCTGGACTCTGGCCTCTGCTCTGTCCTCCCTCTTGCTGTGTCTGCCCCGTCTCTGAGAAGCCTGGCGGCTTCTTATTCTGGCTCAACGTCTTCAACAAAGAAGACTTCCCAGTCCATCAGGGAGAAACCCCGTGGGCGTCCGTGTCATGATCGTTTCCCTCTCCACACCTCTTTCTGGATGATTGGGCAGGTGTGGTGATCCTGGAGCTCTGGGCTTCCATACCTGTGTGGGACAGGGAAGCTCTCTTGGTCTCCATGGCCCAAGTGATGGCTGCGCGCTCGGTCCAGGAAGAGGGGGAGGCAAGCCCACCGTTCCCCACATTGGCCTTCCAGGAAAGGCGGTGTTGCATCCCACCTGCACTTCCTGTCTGATCCTTGAGGGCCAACCGGTCCCTCCGCTCCTGGGGAAAGCGCCTTCTGGCACTGAATCTTTTGGCTGCCACGGATGTCAGGGAGCCAACGGGACTGGGTTTTGGCTGGGTGCAGGGGAGGTTGCGTCAGGGGTACCTAAGCGGTAGCGGCGTGGGGGTGGGGTGTACTTGGTCCAAAGCTCTGGGCTCCTCTGGCGGGCCTCCCTGAATGTGGCCTGGACTCGCGCACAGGCCCTGTCTCGCAGGTTTGCAGGTGCGCTTGGCTTTTCCTCTGCTTTGTGGGGCAGGTCTCCAGTGGCCCCCGGGCGCACGCCTGGACATCACTGTCCGTCTCGTCGTCGCCCCCTACGGCCTCAAAGACACACGCTCTCTGCATGTGCTCTTGGGGGACGTCAGTGCCACGTTTGGTCACACGGGCTCCAGCTCGGACTCGCCTCTGTCTTTGCCGATGTCGCCGGAAGCTGCGTCGGGATGCCGGAGCCCCCGGGCCTTGGAGATGAAGGCAGGCCCCTGCTCCACCCAGGAAGGAGGGAGGCAGTGGGCTCATGGGTCAGTGCCGTTGCAGACGACAGCACGCCTTGCGGCCTTGGGGATCTTTCCGTGCCCCGGCGAGACCCTTTCCGCCTCACTGCATTGTAACCCCATTCCCGATCAGCCGGTGGGAGCCATCATCGGATCCCAAGAGGTGTCCGCGCAGCCCAGCCAGCACCCCGAAGGTCCTCCTTCACCGGGAACAGAAGCAGGAGACCGATCAAGGAGGTCCTGACGACAGGACTCCTATGGGTCCGACCCTGAGTCTCCCGCAGGCCCCTCTGGTAGTCCTCTTCCCACCCTCTGCCTCGGGCTGCGCCGCAGTCCCCGCCGCAACCTCCAGCACCGCCACCCCAGTCCCCGCAGCCGCCATGTCGCCGCCATTTTTTAAAGGGTCTGCAGCCTGACTCTGCGGAGTAAGGGGGCGTGGGGCGGGTGAGTCGGCCTCGCCAGTGAGCATGCGCGAGGCCCGAGCCGCCGCTGTGGTCACAGTGACCGCCACCGTTGCCCGGGGATGGGTCCTTGAGACTTGGCTAAGCAGGCACCCTGTGTGAGCTTGGTCAGAGTCGGGGCTGAGACCAGTCCTGGCCAGGGCAGTTAACAGGAAGGTCTCCGGAGGCCGGGATTCGCGGAGGGTCCATCAGGAGGAAGAAACCTCAGACAGATCTCCGGGGAGACAGCGCGGGATCCCAGCCTCAGGCGTGCGCGGACAGTGTGCGGGTGAGTCTCCCCAAAAGTGGCGCTCTTGGGATGTCGAGGACAGGTCTGCCTGTGTGTCCGTGGGCTGCTCTCTTCACCGGTGGCTTGGTAGTCGCAGAGAGCAGAACCCAGCAGGTTCTGGGGCTGCCTGGGTGTGGGCCTCAGTAAGCTTACAATCATGGCAGAAGGTGACGGGGGAGCCAGCACTTCACATGGCTGGAAGCAGGAAGAAGAGTGAGAAGTGGGGAGGTGCTATACACTTTTAACAACCAGACTCACAATAACTCACTCACTATCGCAAGAACAGCACCAAGGAGATGGTGCTAAACCATTTAAGAGAAACCGCTAGATGATCCAATTGCCTCCCAACACGCCCCACCTCCAACAGTGGGACTTATAGTTTGACTTGAGATTTGGGTGGGGACACAGATCCAAATGATATCAGTGTGTTAAAAGGAAAAGGAGATAACAGTGGGAAATGGATATTTAACTTCAATTTGTGAGTTTTTATTTTAGAGTTCTAAAATTATGTCTTATACTACCTATACAAGTGCTGGAATATTTTCTGTATTAAGTGGTAGATATATAATATCCGAATATCATACTTACCTTCTTTGACCTTGCAGTTTAAGAGGGCATTTTAAGAAAGTAAACAAACACATTGATTTTTTTTTAAAGGAGAAATTTTTCAGTAAACGATATAGGTACGTTAACATGGGCGATATAGGAAAGTTACTGATGGAGAGACAATCCTACATAGAAACCTAAGGAAGCAATTAACTCAGACACAGAGATTGAGAAGAGTAAAATGGAAAATGGGTGAAATCTGGGAAATCTGTTGCTTCCAGTAGAAGAAACATAATATTGAAGGAACAGAGATTGATGTCAAGAGTTCAGGGAAACAAACCAGAATAAGAATGTTTAGACAAAAGGCTGATGGTAGAAGGAAATTGAGACTGAAAGTTATAGAGAGCACAGGCTTACTCGAAGATTAGCAGACAAAAGAACATCTGTAAGTTCAATCATGAAGGAGTGCCAGAATTAAAGAGAAAATAAGGAAATAATAAAGGGAATCTTTTGATGTGAGGAACCAATTGGGCTATGAACTCAGCCTGCTAGCCTGCCATTCCAATGACAGTAGGAAATAAATGTTCTGTAAGTTATTTGAAAATTAGAGGACAAAGTAATTGTTTGTTCTATAGGTAGAGAAACATTTTTGTAAATGATAATACAGCTGTTCTACCAATTTCTCTTAATTTTCAAACTTTTTGAAGGGGTACACTATATTTTCACGATTTGTTCATTCTGATTTCCAACTCATATTTGTTCATCATTTTCTCTTTACTTTTTAAAAAGTTGAAAGACATTCATATCACAAAATTTTCACTGGATAATTTTTCTTGTTGCAACTGTAGATTTTTGTGGATATATACAAATCTCTCTAGTGACACATCTAGAGATTAATGTTATGTTCTATTCCATAGGGAGCAAATATACCACATGAAACATTGCAACTATGAATCTAACTAGACTGTACGGGCAACATATATTGAAAGATAAATTAAAATTGTAAGTTCTATGAGAAAACACAAACATTTGAGTAAAAAAAATGAGAAAGATGTAGTGGTGCCTTCTTCCTACGTTAGAAAAAAGGATCCATAATGAACAACTTTTTTTCCATGTATTTCCTACAATTGAGTAAAATAATGGGACTAGGCAAGTTTACTGGTTTGCATTTTTTCATCTGGGTCTGGTTTTTCATTTCAATTGTCAGCCGTTGTATTAACTACTTTCACCATTCAAAGGAATGAATGATCTGCCATAGTATTTTCTGCAGTTCCATCTCTTGTTTTCAGTATCATTCCAATTCTGCATCTATCTAATTTTGATCTCTGTTCTATTTATTTTCCTGATTCATAACATTTTGCTTTGTGCTGAGCTCCTAATTGTCTCTCTGTCATTCTCAACATTTTAGCCCTATGGTCTAAAAGATGCCCCAAAGAATGTAGCATATTCTAGTATATCAGTGGGACAACATAAACAACATGCTTAATTGTTAATCTATTTAAAGATGAAAGTGTTTTTCATTTTTTTAATCAATTTAATGCTGACTAGATCCTATAACTACATTCTGCTTTTTATAACTAAAGAGCTCCAGAAAAATAAATGTAATAGCTTTGCTGGAAAAGATTAACTTTACAATGCCTTCCTAATGACCTTACTTTTTTTTTTTTTGAAAAGTATTTTCTGGTATACAAAAATAATATTCTGAAATATCTCTGTGATATTTGATTGCCGGATTTAACCTACATACCTCTGAACCTTGGTTTTTCAGACATACAAACTGCTTAACAAGTTCCAATGCATTAATCAATACACCATTGCATAACTTAGAGTAAGAAAAGTTGGTAGATATTTCAGCAATGCCCTAAAATATGCTTCTATTTAACACTTTGAGACAACCAATACACTATTTATAGTGTTGAGACAAAACAAACCTAAGATCACAGAAAAATATTTATTTTAATAAAATGGTATTTAAGTAGATAGTTTTTTGTTGTGGTTTTTTTTTTTTTTTTTTGAGATGGAGTCTCCCTCTGTCGCCCAGTTCAGTGGCCCAGTCTTGGCTCACCGTAACCTCCCCTTCCCGAGTTCAAGCAGTTCTCCCTGCCTCAGCTTCCTGAGTAGCTGAAATTACAGGCATGCACCACCACGCCTGTTTAATTTTTGTGTTTTTAGTAAAGATGGGATGTCATTATGTTGTCCAGGCTGGTCTTGAACTCCTGACCTCAGGTGATCTGCCCACCTTGGCCTCCCAAAGTGTAAGTAGATAGTTTAAATGATTATGGGTTTCATAGGTTTTATTAATTTGTTTTAGTTAACATACAAGAGCACTACAAAACCACATGATTTTATTTTAATTTTTGTCAATAAACTTTATTATATTAAAGGCCATATTGCCCACTGAGTATGATTTTGATATGCACAACTTCTATAATTTACAACTTACTGTATATGGTCTAATATAAATTACATTTAGCTATCTTGAATAAAAGATACTACTCCCCAAAAACTTAATATATAAAATAATTTCTACAATCAATTAAGCCACACAGCTCTTTTTCTCATGGGGCCTGGTGTGCAAGGGCTGCAAACAGCAGCATCCTAGGTAGTGTACAGCAGCCTGTTCCTTGTGTACAACAGCCATTGGACATTTATGTCTCGGATCTAGTGCTTTCCCTAGTCTAGGTTTAAGACCGGATGTAGTATGCCTTTGGAAAGCCTCAGGACCCAGAGGTCAGAGTTCACATTGGCCATGTTCATCCATACCAAGGATGAACTTATTTAGGGCCAAGTTCAAGTTCAGTGAATGCCCAAAAAGCCACATCTCAAAGAAGTGCAATTTTACTAAGTTTAATGCATATACATTTTAAGACTTGGTGGCTGAGAAACAACTCATCCTGGATGGCTGTGGGGCTAGATATAGCCCTGGAATCATGGGCCCCTGGACAAGCAGCTAGCCCTGCATTAGAAAAGAGCTGCCCCCTCTTTACTCAGCCCACCAGTGAATTCTATTTCCTGTACATCTAATAAATCAATCCTATCTATCTATCTATCTATCTAAATAATTCAACAATATGAAGTAGATTAAAAAACACAACTTTATCTTGATGTCTAACTACTGTGGAAATATTTTGTCAGTTATTAACATTCCCCTTTCAGGTTAATATCAAGTCAACAAAAATTTGGAGTTCTCTTGACCCTTTCCCCAATGTGTAAATTAGTAATATAATGTCAATATTCAGACAGGCAAATAAACTAAGCTCCCTTTGATGAAAACGACATGCAGTAACGCTTCCCTACTGAGAATCATCTTAGTTTGTGAAATCATAATCTGGAATGGCTATATCTGCAAAATATATTAAAAGAAAGAAAATATCAAAAACATAATCTACAATACTTTTATGTATATCTAATCATTTTATATTTCTTTTTTATTATACTACTTGAAATACATACATAAAGGATAAAGAGTTTCAACAAATCTCAAAAAGGAAACCTAATTATGTATAATATTCTGACCGATTTTGCTTGCTCACCAAATTGAAATTGAAAAGAAAAAATGCAGCACTCTGTAAAAAAATAAAATGATTTCAAAATATAATTATTGTCTCCCTTTGAAAATATAAATGTTTAAATAATGGTGAAATAGAGAACATAAACATTCACAAATATTACATATCCATTCAACATTTTCAGGTATTATTTTGTTTTGTTCAAACCTCCCCTTCTGTCATTTTTCTCTCCTTTCTTTATCTTTAGCATAACTGAGCTGCTTTCCAAACATCTATAGTTATACCGGACATAGCATTTTCCAACATCAAACATGGTTTTTCTTAAACACCAGCTCCAAATATTAATTCCCAGGGAAAATGACATTTTCCATATATGAGAAATATTGGAACCAATATAACAAAACTGATTAACATTTATAACATTTGAAAATAATTTCACAAAAGTTTTATTTAAAAAAATTATATTGTAAATTTACGTAAGAAATTCTCTATCCATTATATGACTTGTATAATAACATCCACAGTATACTAAGAAAATGTTTTTAAAATATAGGATAAGGTGTCTAAATAATAAATTTTTAAGACCACTTAGTGCCACTATTAAAAATCTGAGAATAAGGCATGAATATTTTTTGATCTATAGAGATTATATATCAGCATGCCAGCATTGGCTTTTATTACAGAATAAGCATTTTAATCTTCATTAACTCTCATCAATTCACTATAGAAAGTAGCTTAAAAAAAAAAAGACCATCACTTGTAGAAAACAGTTAATATTTCGATGGTTTACCTGGAAGTTTACCAGGCATAAATTTATAAAATACATTTATGGATTGAAATAAACTGTTTTACTAAACAATATTACAGAATTCTGAATAGATGCTGATTAAGCAGCAAATCAACAAAACTGTTTATTTACCAGTTTGGTGGCTACCATGCTAATTAGATCATCTGTTTAAAATGTGTCCATATGGACAATTTTTCTGTAAATGTTTTCTTTATGTCCATATTGTGTGGTAGTATTTTCATAGAACCAAGTAGAAATTAACTTAAAAATTAGTTATTTAAAGATGACAATAGAAGATTTTGAACTTTGATTCCCAAAAGGCAAGCAAATATTTCTGAAATAAAATATTTTATATATTTAATTTCTAATTTAATTTACATATAAAATATTTTAAAAATTCATATGAATTTGAGATATTTTCACATTAATTGGACTGTTTTTGTACCTCATTTTGCTTGGTCACACTAAAGTGAGGTTCATCATCTTGTGGAACCAAAGGAAAACTAGTGTGATTATAAGGAAATTATTATAGTTAGACAACTGTGCATTAATTTCATCATTAAGGACCAAATGTATACAGATATAAATACTTTTCTTAATACATTACTTGCAACATATGCACAATTATGTAACAATTATGGTGAACTAAGTCTCCTAGAAATTTCCAAAATAATTTTTTTGCCTTTTTTTAACCTCTAAATCCATATAAATCAAGGGAAAATATTCTTGCACATATGTATATTTAAACATGAACCTAGCCAAAAGTAAGAGAAATTTAAAAAAGTGTAACATATCAAAATGTGGAAATTTCTGTGTTTAGGGAAAAATCTATCCCATTAAGAGCTTGCATTAGAAAAGAAAAATTACCTTGAAATTATGATGAAAGCTTCCAGCTTGTTATTATAAAAATGAGAACAAATTAATTCTGAAGCAATCAGAAGGAAGAAAATAATAAAGGTTAATGAAGAAATAAACAACATTAAATGGAGAAAAATTATATAGCTAAGTAAATTAAACTAAACTTAGATCTTTGAAGGGATCAATAAAATTGTTAAATCTCTGGCCAGACTAAGGAGAAAATAATAGGAAATAAATAATTTACAAATTTTAAGAATGATAGAAGTGGCTGGGGGTGGTGGCTCATGCCTGTAATCCCAGCACTTTGGGAGGCCAAGGCAGGCAGATCGTTTGAGGTCAGGAGTTCCAGACCAGCCTGGCCAACATAGTGAATCTCTGTCTCTACTAAAAATACAAAAATTAGCCGAACGTGATGGCTCATGCCTATATTCCCAGCTACTCGAGAGGCTGAGGCACAAGAATTGCTTGAAGCTGGGAGGTGGAATTTGCAGTGAGTGGAGATCAGGCCACTGCACTCAAGCCCGGGCGACAGAACGGGACTCTGTCTCAAAACAAATAAACAAAAAAAAAAGAATGATAGAAGTAACATTTCCATTGTCCTACAACAGTTTAAGGATAACTAAATGAATACCATGATGAAATTTATAAATGTAAATTAGTTAATTTAGATTAAATGTACAAATCCCTCAAAAGAGACTAACTACTAAGGCAAACTCAAAAAGAAAGCAATAACATGAACATCCCTATATATATGTTTTAAATTTATTAATACCCACCTAGATAAACTAACTGACAAATTTTACTAATATTTAAGGAGATATAATTTATACTTTACACAAAACTTTAAGAAATAAAAAAGAGGAAACACTTTTCAACATGTTTTATTAGTCTACCATTATCCCCATACCAAAACCTTAAAAAAGACATTACAAGAAAATGTCCTGTAGACAAATATGTATTTAGATGAGGAATTTAGATTTCAAAAACTTCAGCAAACTATTATCCAATTAAATCCTCTCATGTCTGTGTGTGTATGTGTGTGCATGCATGTGTGTTTGTAAAATATATCATTACTAATTGGCGTTTATCTTGGGAGTTCAAGATGGTTTCCATATTCAATCAACCCATCAATGTGGACTATGGTCATTTGAAAAGACCAGCAAATCCTCTACACAAAAGGCCACTATAAATTCATTAAAACAGCCTTCCATCACTCTCGAAATTGACCAAAGCATTCAACTACCTGAAAAATATTTATGTTTGGAAAGCTATTGAAATGCAGTTAAAAATATCAGGAAACCTGTTTTTACGTTTTGTCCTGATCTTGCTAAATCCTTCTTAATTTTGTGAGACACTGCTTCTCCTTCCACTGTTCCTTTACTTTCTCCTTCCCCTTTGTTTTTGCCTCCCCCTTCCTCTCCCTTTTCTACATTCCTTCTCTCTCCTAAATGCTGTATAAATTTCTACATATATAATCATATTATTTACAAATAGGAACAGTTTTACTTATTTCTTTCCAATCTGCATTTATTTTATTCTCCCTTTTTTTCCTTACACACTGGATAGAACTCTAAGTATTATGTTGAAAAAGAGTGATAAAAGCAAACATTTTTGCTTTATTCCTGAGCATACATGTGGAAAACATTCAGTGTTTCACAGCTAAATATGATGGATTTTTTTGTATGCTCTTTATCAAGATGAAGGAATTTTCTGCTATTTCTGGTTTGCTGAATTTTTATCACAAGTAACTGTTGAATATTGTCTTTTTCCCCTGCATTTATTGAAATGATCATGTGTTTTCCTATTTTAGAATATTAATATGGTGAACTATATTATTAGATTTTTTTAAATATTGAAACTGTCTTGCATTTCTGGAATAAACACGGCTTGGTCATGTGTGTCACTTTTTTACATAGTGTCGTATTCAAGTTATTGAGGATTTTGCATCTAGGGTATACTTGTAGATTTGCAGATTTGCATCTAGGTTATGTTGGTCTAAAGTTTTGTTTGTTTTTTTTCCTTTTCTTTTTTTATCATCTTTGTCTTATTCTGTTTAAGTGTCATGCTTGCTTCATAAAATGAATTGAGAAACATTTCTTCCTCTTCTGTTTCTCGAAAATTGTAGAGAACTCTTGTTTTTTGTTGTTGTTTGTTTGTTGTTTTGTTTTTTTCTTATTTTTATCCTCATACTGAGAACCAAATAGTCTGGAGTGTAAAATATGGTTCCTCATTCCAGTTAAGTCTAGTACACAATGACAACAACCATCTTGGGTTAAGCATTGGCCTACAAACAGAAAAAAACCTTCAGGGAGATAGATGCTGATCTAGGCATTGTGAGAAAAGCTGAATTCATTTTTAATCATGAATGGCTTTTAAGGAAAGAAGATTTATTAACTAAAATAAATAGATTAGAGGGAATTCTCATCTATGAGAGAGGAAGGGATGGGATTCAACCTGGAAAAAATGATGAAGTTTTAGTGAACTGGGTAAGGTAGACTCAACAATTAATGATGGATAATGCTAGGACCCAGCACCGGTAATGAGCTTGTATTATGACTCAATAGCATCACTTTATCACTTTAACGCAGATGGAGGCCTAAATAACCATAGGGCAATGGTTCTTCTTAGATGCAGAAGGACACATTTATATAATCTTAGGGACCCCATCTCTGAGGTCACTCATAATTTATATTAATTCATTATTATTGCCATTGCCCCAAGAATAGATAAGGATAAGACATCCTGTAGCACAGGTAGCAGAGATATAAACTATTCTTATTCTTGTGTCTTGTCTATAGGAAGGGAGTGTATCCTGGTGTATGACAGCATATAGTAGAGACCAGTGTCAATTAGGGCCTGTGAACTGAGACAGGGTGACTGGCTAAGTCCACAACCCATTAGAAACCCAGAAATAATCAAATCATGGTGAGTAGTAATAATACTTATTTATAGTACTGTACGGTATAAAGACAAGAACCAATTATGTTGAGTAGCTGTAACAAATAGCTCTATCGTTCTTAATAACTTTTTCTGTAATAAAACTGAATTGTAACATGACCATACTGCAATATGACATTACACTGGTATTGTTGGTAAGATTCAACTATCTTATGTAGAGAAGTTATATAATGCTTATATTGATAATCAAATGTATTAAGATATTGAGTTAAAGCCTCTTCAGAATGTAATCTGGGTGAATAATAAATGGCCTGAGAAAACAGAATTTAGCTAACCATTATCTAATTTCAATGCTAAATAGTTCTGCACAGATTTATCAAAAGGTAAAAATAAAAGCAAATTGAGAGGAGGAATGAGTAATTTGGTTTGTACAAAATATTAAAGTGTATGTAATGGCCTTGTAGGATGCATTAGTAATTTTTAAAAATCAATCTTTACCCTACACTGTGTCCATAAAATGCTAGGCATATTCATGTTAATATTACTGTTGTTACTGTCATATAAATGCTGTACTCAATGTAGATGCTCAGAAAAATATGCTTGTTTTGCTACAGGAGAGATTAGTCCAGGGACAATAAATATGGATTAGGGAAGAATGTGTTAACTCAGCAGGCCAGGGTTTCTTCAACCCTGCACATTCAAAGGTAAGGTTTGTTTTTAGGACTAGCTAGCTTCTGAGTTCTGGAAACAGTCTTACCGTGAAGAGTGTTTTTGTATATCTGAGGCCTTGGGTTTATGGTGAATGACTGACTTTATATGCCTGAGGCCCTGAGTCATGCTGTATTTATCTGAACCATGTGGTATCAATTTAACCAGATACGTTTATTCTAAGATATGATTTATGCTGAAAGCCTGCTTTTGTTCTAGAGGGATCATGGAAAGGAAGCTGAATTTGCTGAGTTTTGCCACGTGGGCATTGCATGCCTATGTGATTAACCACCAATAAAAACCTGGGACATCAAAAAATAAATAAGCTGCTTTAATTGCCAAGAATTCACATGTGGTTGTATGCAGCATTACTGGGAGATTGAAGTGTATCTGCATGTGATTCTACTGTGATGGACACTTGTAAATTTGTGCCTGGAGTCTCCTGGAATTTGCCCTGAGAATCTTTTTCCTTTGTTGATAAGAATCTGCATCCTTTTGTTTTAATAAACGATAAACATGAGTATAATTGCTTCTCTGAGTTCTGAGAGTTTTTTAAATAAATAATCAAAGCTGAAAAGCAATGGAGACCCCCACCAAAACATCTTTACACATTTCAATTTTGTATTGAAGTAAATTTTATTTTCTTTTTTATACCTCCCGTATATATTCTATTTTTCTCATTATTATTTATTTATCCCAAATCTTTTATCTGTGATCATTTTCCTTTGTTTGAAATTTGTCTTTTGAGATTTCTTTAGAAGGTGCTTTTGGATGATAAATTTTCTGTTATTCTTTGTCTAAAATGTCATTATTTTGACTCATTTATAAAAGGAGTTTTTGTGTTTTATAAACCTCTAATGTATAGAAGTGTGTCTAAACTCATTGAGGATATTTTCCAAATTTTTTCCTGCTTTTTATTGCTGTTGATAAGAAATCAGTGTTGGTATTTTGACATTTAAGTTATGTGTCATTTTGTTGTGGTAGTTCTGAAGATCTTCCCTCTGTTTTATATTCTCCTTCACCTTTCATAAATGTACTTTATATTTATTTGGTAATAAATTTTGAACATATACTATGCTATAAAGATAATCTAGGCCCTTTGGTTACATCTCGTAAATAAAATCAACAAAATCTGTTTTGAGATTATATTGTAATATAAGATACCCAAAGTAAATAGGATATGTACCATATGTTTGAAGGTGGTAAATACGATGAGAAAAATAGATCAGGTCAGGAAGAATGAAGATGATTGAAGGTACAGGTTATGATAAAAACTTAGGTGTGCCGAGGAATGAATTCATCTTATGTATCTTGAGTGTAATGTCTTATTTCTCCTGAATCTGAGAATTTGATGTCTTTCATTAGGTATGTCAGTGAATTTCACTAATGAATATCTTAGATTCCAGTTTAATATATGATAGTCATTTTCATTCTGTCTTTCATATCACTTAATCCTTTCTCTTTATTGTTCATTTTTATACATCTCTTAATAGTCACAGTGAATTTAACTATGTTTTACATTATGTGGTTATTATCACTTTAGCTATCTCTAATATATTATGAATGTGTCAGTTGTGTGTTTACTATTGTTTGAATTAAACTTTTAAATCATTCATTTTAATTCTTACTTAATTCAAACTTGTTTGTTATACATTCTTATAATTCCAGTATCTGGAGTCTTTCTTCATGTGATTCTTTTATCTCCCTGTTTTCCTCCTATATTCTTTTCATGCACCATCTTTCTCTGTGTGTTTTGTTTTGTTTTACTGTCAATTCCTAACTAATGGAAGTATATTTATGCAAATAATTTTAGGATAGAATTGAAATAGGGTTCCCAAAAGGATTATATAAATTTGTTTGTACCAAGGACCCAGGGTTATAAACAGAATGAGATAACTTTAAATTTCTGTCTTGAGGATTTTCAAGTTACACAGGTCATATTAGTGAGAACCCCAGAAAAGGGCATTCTTTTTTTTTTTATATTTCACTTTACGTCCTGGAATACATGTGCAGAACATACAGATTTGTTACATAGGTATACATGTGCCATGGTTGTTTGCTGCACCTATCAACCCGTCATCTAGGTTTTAAGCCCCACATGCAGGTATTTGTCTTAATGCTCTCCCTCCCCTTGCCCTCCACCCCCAACAGGCCCTGGTGTGTAATGTTCCTCTCCCTGTGTCCATGTGCAGAACCTGCAGTTTTGTTACATAGGTATACATGTGCCATGGTGGTTTGCTTCACCCTTCAACTCGTCACCTACATTAGGTATTTCTCCTAATGTTATCCTTCCCCTAGGCCCCCACCCCCTACAGCCCCTCCGTGATGATCCCCTCCCTGTGACCATGTGTTCTCATTGTTCAACTCCCACTTATGAAAACATGTGGTGTTTGGTTTTCTGTTCCTGTGTTAGTCTGCCGAGAATGATGGCTTCCAGCTTCATCCATGTCCCTGCAAAGGACACAAACCCATCCTTTTTTATGGCTGCATAGTACTCCATGGTGTGTATGTGCCACATTTTCTTTATCCAGTCTATCATTGATGGACATTTGGGTTGGTTCCAAGTCTTTGCTATTGTAAATAGTGCTGCAATAAACATACGTGTGCCTGTGTCTTTATAGTAGAATAATTTATAATCCTTTGAGTATATACCCAGTAATAAGATTGCTAGCTCAAATGGTATTTCTAGTTCTAGATCCTTGAGGAATCACCATACTGTCTTCCACAATGGTTGAACTAATTTACACTCCCACCAATAGTGTAAGAGTGTTCTCTTACTACACTTCCAATTTGGCTGGACTTTGAGCTTTGTCTGTGGTCCCCCGCTTTTTACAATCCCAAGAAACATGGCCTCATCCTTATCAGGACCAGAGAATGCTCTCAAGGTAAAATCTTAATTTTCGTAAAATTGTTGTCTTCTTGACTGATCGTTGTGACACTAAAGCAAGATTTTTTTAATGTTTCATCCAACTTTTAAGAATTATTTTAGTGGTAGGACTGAGCCAGGTTTCTAATCCACACTACTGCAGATAAAAAAATGACAAAAGGTAACTTTCAAAAATAGAGGCCAGGCGTGGTGGCTCATGCCTGTAATCCCAGCACTTTGGGAGGCCAAGGCGGGCAGATCACGCCTTGATAGTCTCAGGAAATTGAGACTACCCTGGCTAACACGGTGAAACCCCGCCTCTACTAAAAATACAAAAAAAATTAGCCAGGCGTGGTGTCGGGTGCCTGTAGTCCCAGCTACTCAGGAGGCTGAGGCAGGAGAATGGTGTGAACCCACGAGGTGGAGCTTGCGGTGAGCCGAGATCACGCCACAGGACTCCAGCCTGGGCAACAGAGAGAGACTCCATCTCAAAAAAAAAAAAAAAAAAAGAAATCCATCTTTTTTCATGAAAGATTTATTATACATTCTAAATAAAATGGAGATAGAAAGTTAGCATTTGAACTTTAAAGTTATTAGCATAAGGAGCAATGAAAACTAAATTTCTCCTGGGAGTTACTCATTTTTCTGGGTTATAAATGAATGCCATATTATTTTTTGATGTTTAATGTAAAATATTATTGACTGTAATAATCCAATATGATCTAGGATATTCAGTCTTACACAACATAGGGATGCAGTATAGGTTGACGTACATCCAAAATTATAACACACTTTGTTCAAACACAATGCATATTACATTTTCCTGTAGCTCAAATCTGTGTTATCTGTATTATTAAGAGATATAAAGAGAGGATTCAAAATAATACTGAAGAATTCTCACTAATTTTATGAATCTAGTAGATCAAAATGTTACTCCAACATTAATATTGATTTCATAATACAGACGGTGAGGCTTATGTAAATCTGTTTCAAAAAATGTATAGCATTCTTTAGCTCTTATGTTGTAAGACATTCAGAATATAATCCAAAATAAAGTTGTAATAAATTATCGCATTTTAATGAGTATTTTAACATAAAATGTGAGTTTGGGATTATTATAAATCCAAAGACACATAAACTCAGTTTCTAAAAGATATGATTGAGGGGAAATCATGATTTATTATATCTTCATTTTATCAAGAAAAGACACAGTTATTATTTATAATAAAAATGATTACAATGCACACATACTCTTTTGTGAGTTGCCACAGAATTTTCTATTACCAAAACCTGTCAAGTTCAATACATGTCTAGAATATGTATAAATAAAGGTTGATCTGTGATATTAGATATTATCAAATAAAAAATATTCTTATTGAAAAAAATGTGATTCCTTATGACAACTTCAGGGCATCTTCTATTTGCCCCCTGTTATCAACAGGGGAAATTTTCTTTCCAACATTTCTCACTAATCATTTCTGACAAGTAGTTGGCAAGCTTAACTATAAAGGGTCGTCCATAGGGCTCTAGGTCAACCTTACCCTTTGGGAAGAAAGTGCACATGATGTCTATGAATAAATGCCCTCCAACAGAGGAAAAGGACAATGCTTTACATAGTGTGTGCATAATCATTTTTCAACATAATTAGCTTATCTATTTGTGACATGATTTTACTGTCATTGCAGGTGTTTGACATGACCCACATTTTTTCCCTGTGCCAAGAAATACAATGGTTTTGTATTACATTAATACTTCAGATCATCTATAATATGAGTGAGGTTTGGTTAAAAAATATATAAAAATAAAAATCTCAGTTCTATTCGAAATACTAATGAAAGTATCTTACCAAAGTAAGACATTAGCAATGCATTGTCTGTCACTTGATATTTTGTGTGTTTGTTCATTTCAACAAGGGAAAGAGAATTAGAAAATTGGAAGAAAACTATTTAAGTAATTCTTGTAAAATTAATATACATATTAAATATCATGAAGGGTAGAAACAGAGTTAACATTTAAAATGTTTATAACTAATGTGTAAATTTAATTGAAAGCCAACTGATTGCTCTGAATTTTTATGAGGAATAATGGCAATTGTACAGAAAATAACTGACACCGAAAGTATCTACCTTTTCACATTTAAATGCAAGTGACTTTTTGTTCATTCATTCTAAAATTATGAATTATTATACTTTAGCTTGAATGTTTGTCTCCCCTCTAAAAGCTATTTTGAAACTTAATCCTCAATGCAATAGTATTAAGAAGTCAGGCTTTTAGGAGTAATTAGGTCATGAGGACTCTGTACTCATAGATGGGATTAGTGCATTACAAAAGGGCTGAAGGGAACTAGCTAATGTAAGGCCACAGCATTCAAGTTACCATTTTAGAAGCAGAAACTGGGACCTCACTTGGTGCCAAACCTGCCAGAACCATGGTCTTGAACTTTTCAGCCTCCTGGACTGTGAGAAACAAGTTTCTGTTCTTATCAGTCTCAGCTATTTTGTTACAGAAGCACAAGTGAACTGAGACCTGAGATGGGAGTGTTTATGTGCTAGGTATGGAGCTAATTTCTGAATAAATAAAGATAAATACATTCTATGACCTCATCGTCTAGTGCCTGTTACAGTGACACAGTTAATATTTTTTCTTGCCTTCCTATTACTCATTTTTGCTCTCCTCACTAAATATTGAGGAAAACATGAATGCATCATCAGTTTTTCCACTGATACAACTGTTTAAGAAGTACATATGACATTATATTTTTTCTTTCTGTATTCTGTAGACTTACCTGTAAAGTCTAAGGCTAACATTGACTTTATGCTAATTAGTACTGTGTTCATTTCGGATGTTTAATATGCCTTGTACAAATTTAAATAGATAAAACATTAAAGATGCTACTACTCAAAACACACAGGGAATAAAATATTCTATTTGACACATCAACATAGAGTTTACACTGAGGGAAATTTTTATTCATTAGTTTAAATGGGGCAAAATACAATAAATATTATTTGGTTATAATAGAGAAAGTTAAGTGGAAAGATGAAATGATAAAGAGCCCAGAGAAAATTGTTCAGTTTGCATATAAATTGGGAAATTAACCCCTAACCTGCCTAGGTAGAATTTCATAGCCTTAACTAAAATAATTATTTAAACTTACAAGATTTATTAGAAAAATATGAATAGAAAAATAAATGCATTGTTGCATTTTATGTAATTTTACTTGAACTTAGTTTATAACATGTACATAGATTAAGTTGATTTAAATATTTTATGTACAAAAACTATATTGTTGAAGATTCTAAGAGCTTAAAACTAAAATACAAGATAAACATTTACTTTATAAAAAGAGTAAATAAGATGAAGAATTTGAAAGAATTTAAGAATTAATTTCAGTCTCTTTTCCAAAATGTATGTGGTTAGCCTGCAATGCTTTTACAATCTGTTATTTTATGAGTATGAATATTGATTTTATTACCTAAACATGTATTATTTTTAAAATATGGCAAAAGAATTAAAGTTCTATAGTTTGACAAAGCCGTAAAGCAGATCAATCCTTTGACAGCTTAATGAATAAAGCATGCATGTAGTTGACACTAATTCATTTAATAAACATTTGTAGAACATATATGTGTAAGAAATTGTGCTAAGGAGATGAATGGTACATTAAAATAAGAAGACAAGTTTCCAGATACTAAGGAGTTTATGTAACTGTAAGATACATAAAACCACACAAATGAAAAGGCTAAAATAAATCAGAAAATGAAGGGAAGAAAACAAATATCCATATTAAGTATATATAATATCTCAAATATTCTTTAAGATGTCTTAAACAGATTTTAATATTTAATCCTAATGACAGGATAACCTGATTTATTACAGATGATATAATTAAGGCTAATACAAATCTGCTGACTTTAAATTTTCAAAGTCTTCCTGAATTATTTGACTGTATAATATTTTGGTAAACATAAATAAGTGGATACTAATGCATTGAAACAGAAACAGAGTACTGTTCAAGAAACAGAAAAAAATGAAACAATAGAAAAGATCGAATTTGTAGTATTACTACAATTTAAGATTTAATAAAGACAAAAATGGAAACCAATATGTAGTTAGGAGGACAGAAAAAAGTACAGTGGAACCTCCATATCCATAGGTTCTGCATGTGTGGATTCAACCACCCATGGATCAAAAATATTTGGAAAAACATTTATGACAATATGAACACATATGGAATTTTGCCTTGTCATTATCCCCTAAAGAACACAGTATAACTATCTACATTGCATTTACATCGTACTTGGTATCATAAGAAATCTAGAGATGATTTAAAGTATGTGACAGTGTGGATGTAGGTGTATAAAATACTATTATACATCATTTTATAGAAGGGTCTTGAGCATCTGTAGATTTTTGTGTCTGAGGGTTCCTAGAACCAGTACCCCACAAATACAGAGGAACAACTATAATGAGTTCCTAGTAAACTAGGCTGAAGTATTATAACTGTACACAAAAGAATTTAAGGCAGAATGATTAAATAATATATAGCAGTATGTATAAGAAGTGAAGATAATTGAAAATTAAATTGATAGGAAAGACATGAAAAATATAATGAAATTAATGGAAAAATTAAAACTTTAGCAAGATGTACAAGCAAGGACTGGGTAGATTTCACCTGAAAGATATAATTTGTAATGACAAAGTACTTTGATAGTCTAGCCTAATATTTTATTGTATCTTAAAACTTCCCTCTGGCTCATTCTGGTCTGATCACACCAGCTTTCTTATGGCTTCTTTTATCTGCCAAGAATTATGCTCTGGTCTAATTGACCTCCCCAAATTTGTATATTAAAATTCTCACCACCAAGGTGATAATATTAAAAAATGGGCCATTTGATAGGTGACTGGATCATGGAAGTGGAGCCCTTATGAAAGGTGCCACAGGGAGACCCCTCCCTCTTCCACCATGTGAGGTTAGACTGAGAAATACATCTCTGTGGTTTATAAGCTGCTCAGTCTATGGCATTTTGTTATAGCAGCCCATGCTAATGAATACAGATGACTGTGTGTCTGCAGACCTTCCCAGGAAATTATTGAGTCCTTCATTGAATACTAAACTGTGAATACATGAGAGAAAATAACTGAAGCCTGGGGTAAAATGCCAACACAAAGGGTCTGAAGAACAATTCTCAAAGCTCAGAAAGCTCTGCAAATATTATTGTTGCCACAAACCACAGTAGAAGACAGGGTAATATATGAGCTATTAGGGAGAATCTTTGGAAGAATCCTGCTTTTGTGATGGAACTCACTCATTCCTAAACCTAAAGCAACTCTATATCTTCTCTAAGAAAATTTTATAGCAATCTCTAAAAGCATCAAACTGATTCCAAATAATTTAACTATGTTTGAGAACAAAATACAAATATACAAAAGGAATTCAACAAAATCCATCACAACACAATATAGAATTCACAATATCTGGTTTCGATGAACATAATAATTAGTGTTGAAACATGTTAATTCAGGTGTTAAAAATATGCTTTATTTTTTCAAATAAGATGGGAAAATATGTATATTATGAGAAAATAAAAATGGAAGAAATAAAAACAAACAAGCAGACTCCTAAAACAGAAAAAATAAGTATACTAGATTAAAAATGTATGAATAAATTTAACAGCACTTTAACCATTGTAGAAAAAATACCAGTGATTTTGATAACATAACAATATAAGCTATCCAAAACAGAAAACATAGACACATTTGAAAATACAACCACACTGTGTTGGACAATATCAAGCAGCATAATACAAGAAGAGATGGAGTCCCAGAAGAAGACTGAGTGGATGTACGTGTGTATGTGGCAGGGAAGAACAAAACCAAAAATTCGAAGAAATGATTGCCAAAATGTTATTAGAATCACAAATAAAGACAAAACGGCAAGGTAAACTATTGTCTAATTTCTGAAAGTCAGTGATAAAGAGAAAAATCTTAAAAGGCATCAGAGATGAAAAAATAATCCACATCAAAAGAAACACACACACACACAAATACGGGCAATTTTCTTCAGAAACTATGAAAGCTTGGAGACAATGGAGCAATCATAAATAACTAAATAAGAAAAAACAGCTTAATCTACATTTTTATAACAAGTAGAAAATTTTAAGCACTAAAGTAAAATAGGGCTCGTTTATTTTTAGAAAATTAAAAATAGGTTTGGAACTAGGGTAAAGTAAATGACACAACTAGGTCCCAAAACCTAAAGAGCTACTCACTTTCAGGGTTATATATTTGAGATTGAGAGTGCAAGACTTGGGCCTTGTGTGACCCGAGAGAGTGCCTCATTAAGTTTTTCACCAGAGGTAATTTGCTCATCTCAACGTTGTCTCAGCACTGAACAAAATCTGAAGAATTTCATTGTTAGCCATCCTCCATTGTCATTTATAAGAAAGATTCCTAAGGCAGAAGTAAAATTTTATGAGATGTATATGTGTGTCTGCAGAAAAAAACTGGCAATGTATTATACTGCATATCAAGTGATGTACTATTATTTGAAAGTAGGCTGTGATGAGCTAAGTATTTATATTTTAAAACTTAAAGTAGAAGTATTTATATTTTAAACCTTAAAACAGAAGTATTTATATTTTAAACCTTAAAGCAGAAGTATTTATATTTTAAACCTTAAAGCAGAACCTAAAAAAGAAGTACATTAGTAAACCAATAGTAGAAATAACAAAAATAATGAAGTACATATTTAATCTACAAAATGTAAAAAAAGGATAAATAATTGAGCAAGGAGCATATAAGATAAATAGAAAACATAGCAGGAAGGTATATTTAAACCTAAGCTTATTCATAATCACATTACATTACATGTAAATCATTCATACACATCAATGAAAAATCAGAAATCTAATTCTGTCTACTAAAATTCTACTATAAATGTAAATACATAGATATCTGTGTGTGTAGTATGAAAAAATATTTATAGAAAACTAGAGTTACTATATTAATGTCAAACTAAATGTATTTCAGAACAAAATATATTACCAGTGATCGAAAATATACTCACTGATTATGAAGGGGTCAATTTATTAAGATAACAATATTAACACAAAGAAACTATACATGTTAAGGTGATGAATATCAGAATCCTGATCTGATAATTGTACATCGTATGCTTGTATGCTTATGTACCCCATACATATGTGCAAGTATTATGTATCCATAATAATTAAAAATTTTTTAGAAATAAAAAATTAGATAAATGTAATAGTGCCATGTGTTTACGTTAGAAAAGAAAAAAGAATCTAATCAGTTCCTAAAGCAAATTAAACCCAAACAAAACAGAATGCTGTTGTCTGAATGTTTGTGTCTCCTAGAATTTCCTATGTAGAAATCCTAACTCCCAAATTTATGGTATTAGGAGATGGGGTCTTTTGGGAGGTGCTTAGATCCTGAAAGTAGAGATCTGGGGCTCTTTTATAAGGGTACTAAATTAATACTACTTTAAGGATAGTAAATGAGTAGTTTTCTTACAAAAGAGACCCCAGAGAGCTACCTTGCACTTTCCATTACGTGAGGATGCAGAGAGAAGGAAACATCTATGGACCAGGAAATGGGCCCTCACCAGACATCAAATCTTTGAGTGCCTTGATTTCTGACCTCTCAGCCTCCAGAACTGTGAGAAGTAAATTTATAAGTTATAAGTTTATATTATTATAAATTATAAAATTTTGTTGTTTATAAGCCACAACAAAAAGGTATTTTTCTATTGCAGACGAAATGTACTAAGGTACAAAGAAATAATAAAATACATATAAGAACAAAAATCAATAAAAATTGAAAGAACACCAAAATGGAATATCAATAAAATAAAAAGCTAATTTATTAAAAAATGAAAAAATTCTAGCTATACTCAACAAAAAAGAGAAAAAATACTAAACACTAAAGCCAGTAATGAAAGAAAGACTGTCACTAATTATACTATAGGTTATAAAATGATAGTAAGCACACAGTGTTTAAACTTTATGCAAATACATTTTAAAAGTTTGGTAAACAGACACATTACTTGAGAGAAAAGAGTTTACAAAATTCACTTAAAAATAAAGAGACACCATGAATAATCCTGCAACTATTAAATACATTAAATCTATAATTTGAAACTCACACACAAAATAATTCCAGGTCAGGAAGGTTTCACTCTTGTATTCTCACAATCTTTAAAGAATAAATAGTAACAATTCTATGCAAATAAATAAAATCAAAATAAAACAGAAATAAAAGAGGAAGCAACCCTAACAGCATATTATATGAGGTACATATTACCCTTAAAGGAAAAAAATAGGTAGAGATTAACAGAAAACTACAGACCTACATTTTGATTTTAAAAATTTGTATAGGATTATTTTATTAAAAGTAGAAAAGCATTTGATGACATTTTACATGTATTCATAATAAAGATTTACAGAAAAGTAGGCAAGAGAAACAAATTATTTCAAAAGTAATAAACATATCTAAAAATATAGTTAATATAGTGAAATACCAAATGGTTCCTCCTACTATAAGAAAGAATGCAGAAATATCCACTATGAACCATTCTGTTTGATACTTAGAAAACTGCAATACAGTGCTGAGAGACATTAAGGCAGACCTAAATAAATGGAGAGATAAACCAAGTTCAACAATTTGAATGCTTTATAGTGTTAAGAAGGTAGTTCTACTAAATTTATTTCTAGATTAATTGCAATATCAGTCAAAATCTCAGTAGGCTTTTTATATAAATAACAAATATTTTTTCAAAATTACTATGTAATGTTATAAAATATTATAAATTAATATTGAAAATATTTTACATGAAAGTTCAAATTTCTGGAGCCTTTTAAGATAAGAGGATGGCAGTATTTCTATGGTATAAACACTAAGTATATAAAAACTGAAGACTTCTATTAATATCAGACAAAATGGGCCACAAATCAAGAAATATTTTTAGCAGGATAAAGATCAATGTAATTGGTCCAATTCATCAAGAGAACCTGATAATGCAAAATGTTTTTTCACACATTAACAAACAATTCTGCATTTAAAATACTCAAGCCAAAAACTTACAGAATTGAAAGGAAAAATATACAAATCCACAATATATTTAAAGATTTGAAAACTATTTTCTGATATTATTAAACAAGTAAATAAAAAATTTTAAAGAAAATATCTACAAATTTAATGACATTATAACCTAACAAGTTCTAGGATGCATAGAATATTATACTCATCACCAGCAAAAACTCATTTTATTTTCCAAGTGCACTGACATTCATCACATGTTAGGCAACAAATAATAAAGTTTCAACAAATTTAACAGGATTAGATCATGGAGAGTATGTTCTCTGACCCAACGGAATTAAATTTAAAATAAAAAACAAAACCAAAGCTACAATGGAATCCCCAAATATTTAGATATAATAAACTTCTAATGATGCCTTGTAGCAAATAGTAAATCAAAAGATAAATTAGAAAGTATTTTGGTCTGGATAAAAATAAAAACACTACAACTTCAGGATTCCTTTGGAGAAATACGAAGTTTTTAATGTATGTATTAGAAAAAGGAGAAATGTCTAAAATTAATGACACAAATGTCTACCTGAAAAAGTGAAAAGAAAACCAAATTAAACAAGAAGAAGTAGAAAGTAAATATAGAGAAAAACTAAAATTTTATAAAGACATAACAGAAATACAAAAGGAAAAGATGAAATTTAAAACTGATTCTTTGATAAAAGGAATAAAACGAATTAAATTCTAGATAGTCTGAGAAAGATACAAAGACAGAAATCTGTCAGCTACCACTTTCAGGAAATAAAGTGGGCAAGGTTGGGAAGATGGTGGGTGTTGTAAAGATACTACAAATATCAAAATGATAATGACTTAAATTACAAAAACTTTATGCCAATAAATTTGATAATGGTTGAATAAATTCTATGGTTAGCAAAATAATCTTTACAATTACTCAAGAATAAATAAAATTTCTTCATATCTTTAGATTTATTAAAGATACTGAATTTTAATTTAATACCTTCTTAGGGGAAACAAATTCCAGACTCAGGTGCCTTCACTGTTAAATTTTATTCTTTTTAAATAGGTAAATGTTACAGTGATTATTACTCAAGTGTATATACTGAGAATTTTTACATTAATTTGTTACATAGATTAATTTTTTTCTTCAAAATACAACTAATTTACTGATTATACTTTTTGGGTCTTCTGTTAACATTATTAGCAAAATTTAGAAAATTTATTCATTTATATACAAAATTAATAGATACATTAAATACTTACTCTGTGCCACCCAATGCCCAATTCACTGAGAGCATTTTACTGAATAAACAAAAAATTTTGACCCTTGATTACCTTATTGTTGCAGGTAACAAACCATAGAAGATAGACAATAGTCAATGTAAAAATCAATAAGTTGTTTTGACAATGGACAATAAGCAAAAATACCTGTTCACTTGTTGTATTAGTCTGTTCTCACACTGCTATAAAGAGCTGCTAGATGCTCCTTAATATATAAATGAAAGAGGCTTAATTGACTCAAAATTCTACAGGTCTGGGGAGGCCTCAGAAAACTTACAATCATGCCAGAAGGGGAAGCAAACCATGTCCTTCTGCACATTGTGGCAGGAAGGAAAACTGCAGAGTGCAGGGGGTAAAAGCTTTTTATAAAACCACCAAATCTCATGAGAACTCACTCACTATCACGAGAACAACATGGGAGAACCACCCCATGATCTAATCACCTCCCAGAGTTGCCTCCCCCAAAACATGGGGATTATAAATCTGATTATAATTTAAGATGAGATTTTGTGTGGGAACAGAGCCAAATCATATCACTAGAATAGATAATATATACAATACATAAGTAAATTTTATAGTATGCTAGCAGATGGTTAATTCTACTGACAAATACAGAAAGGTAAAGGATGAAAGGGATCACTTGCTTAAGAAAGGGATACACATTTATATGTGTTGATTTTAAGGAATCAACAAGGAATGATTAGCAAGACTTGAAGAGAAAGGAGAAGCCATGTGAGCCTCTGGGGTGGTGTTACAGGCAAAGGTAAAAGCCAGGACAAAGCAGACACTTCCTATATTCCTGTATTCATCCATTTTTATGCTACTGATAAAGACATACCCCAGCCTGGGAAATTTATGAAAGAAAGAGGTTTAATGGACTTATGGTTCCACATGGCTGGGGAAACCTCACAATCATGGCAGATGGCCAGGAAGAGCAAGTCACATCTTACATGGATGGCGGCAGGCAAAGAGAGAGCTTGTTCAGAAAAACTCCCTCTTATTTAACCATAAGATCTTGTGGGACTTACTCACTATCATGAGAATGGGATGGCATGCCACCATGATTCAATTATCTCCCACCTGGTCCCTCCCACAACACATGGGAATTCAAGATGAGATGTGGGTGGGGACAAAGCCATACCATATCACCATCTCTGTGCAAATGCTCTCTCTCTTCTATTTAGCTCTGCAATTGTAGCTAAATTTTCCTTTCTAAGCCCCAATCTCCAATTTCTCAATATACAGGGAGAGTTATACTTTCTTTGGATTATCCTTTCACTGTGTCTTCTGGAAACTGAGAGAAAGCTTGGGATAAGTCAGATTTTATTTTTTCTTTTATCAAGGATCAGCATCCTCAGCTTCTTGTCAATGGTTAAAAAATCACTGTTGATTATATTTTGTCTGCACTTAGTTTTTATTTGTATGTGTGTGTTTTTGTTTTTTGTTTGTTTGTTTTGTAAAGAATTTAGTTTAGTTCCTCTTACTGTATCATGGCGAAGTACAGCTATCTTCAACCTATTTTTTCTGACCAATCTTTGTCTTTATATTGATTTAACATTACTTTTTAAATTTAGTCTTAAAATTCTTACTTTAAATAGTAGTTTTAGACTACTTATATTTAATATTGTTATCTATATTTTGGCCTTAAATCTACTATCATAAAATTTATTTTCCATAAAATTTAATCTGTTCTTTATTACTATTTTCCACTTTTGATGCTTTGTCTTGGATTAAGTGTTTAATTTTGAATTTTATTTTATTTCAACTAATAGATTATTAGTCATATGTTTTTGCTTATTTTGTCCTGTTGGGTGCTCTAAGGTTTATACTATGTACCTTAACTTTCCAATAACTTTAAGGTGACTGAATATTTTTGCCCTGATACCTAGAAAAAGACAAGCATGCTTGGTCTGATAAATTATTTTGAAGCTTATACTACACGTCTTAGCAATGCAATGAGAGAAGTAAGAATACATACAGTTTAGAAAGAAAGATGTCTTTCTTCACAGATATTATTCTGTGCAGAAAATAAAAAAGATATTTGCAAAAAAGTTAGTAAAATTGTGTGTTTATCTAGATCACAGGATATAATATACAGAAATCCAGTATATTTTGATAGATTTGCAATGACCATTCATAATCTGAGATAAAAAAAACAAGGAAAATAAGGGAGTGCTCAAATGCTAAGAAAGACATGTTAAAAGAGCTGAGAAACTTGAATAGTTCCTACTAGCAAAATTAGCAAAACTGAATCAATAAAATAAGTAAAGGAACAGATCATGGCCCACTGAAAGAAAGAGGAATCCATGGGTCCACGTGAGATAAATCCATGAATTAACGAATGAATAAAAGAAGGAAACACTATTATTTTCCCACAGAGTGCCAACCAATAAAAGGAAAAGGGTTGACATTGTATGTTAAAAAATTATCATTTGAAAATCTTCACATTGTATTTGATTGAGTCTTGAGGCATCAATGGATGCTAAACCTAGTGGGTAAATGTTGGAGAAGAAATGGGATATTTTCACAGTCTCAAAGTATCTCTCCACAAAACACTTAATTTTAGATTAATTACATGTATATATACATGTATACAATAGATAGTCTATATATACAAAATATGATTTTTTGTCATGTTATATCAATATAAAGCAAATGAGGAGTACCTTTGCAATAGAGAAACCTGGAAGACATTACCTTTCAAATGATCAAAATTAAAATCACCACTGATGGGAAAAATTAATTTCATATATAACCTGAAGAAATATGATAAGAAGAGCATAGCATCATGTTGGTGATTTTATTGCCAATAATGTATGTCTTGACATCTCATTATGAGAAAACACCAGACAAATCGAAATTGGGAGACATTCTAAAAATAGAATCCATTGGAATATTACCTTCAAAAAATGTTTAGGATGCTATGAAGGTTAAAGAAGGACTATGGAATGCTTCTGATTTAAAGAAGTTAAAGAGACATAGAAACCAGGAACAACACATTATCCTGAAGTGGATTGTTTTTTACAAAAAGCATCAGGGCAGTTTGTGAACTAGAATGGGTCCTCTCTTGGTGCTTGTTACATGACAGCTGTTTGCATCACTTTAGCAACTTAAAGATAAACTGCTTAAAGATAAATTGGCGTCATTTCATACAAACATTAAAGAAAATGGTAATGTCTAACAGGCACAGAGTGCCAGCCTAATTACTGTTCCAGGGGTCCTCAGGGAGCTGTTTTCCTACTATCTTCTTGATTTTTAAAATATATTTTAGTTGATTAGTTTTATTCATGCCATAATTGGTGGAAATTAATCCTTGATTCTATAAATTGTTACCTAGTCAGTTTCCAATGTTTTTTCTTGTTTGTTTCTCTTTCCTTATTTATTTATTTATGCTTTTCTTTTACTTTTTTTGTAAAGTGGAATAAGTTAGGAATGAGTATATTATGACCAACTAAACTGAGTAGTTTTATGACAAGTTCCAAATTACATTAAGTATCAAATATTTGACTTTTCTTAGATTTCAAAATAGTCACTTTTCAGAAAAAATCATTAGTAGTTTTCTAAAAATAAAATCCTCTTGATTCAACAAAACATACTTCATGTTGTTTTTCCTCCCAAAACAGGCTCCTCCTTGAGTTATTGGGAATAAGTAATGCTTCTCAATAAAGCTTCGTGTCAACAAATCTGAACATATAACATCTCAGCTAGAGCAAGTTACTAAAAATAGGCTCAATTTGTACCTTGCAGTCATGCCTTCATAACCACTTTTCAATTAATCCTGCTTAATTCAGAGAATGTATAAATATGTAATTTTGCATCACTTTTAAGGCAGCCATTTTATTTTGAAATGCAACTAACATTATATGCATAAATTCAATAAATATAAAGCTGTTTTCAAAAATTGAATGTTTTTACTTGTAAGTTATTCTTTCAATAATAATAAAGAGATGATCACTAGTCATTTTATTTTTCATAGTTGAATTGATTCAGTTGAGCTTCATTGGGTGTTCTTATGTTTTAGTCATGAGTTCATTCTCTTTAACAAGCTAAAGGAAACCATATTATATGCTAAAAGATGTCAGTTTGTGAACAATTTAATGAATATACAGAGTTAAAACATTTTTCCCGATTGGATGTTGGGGTTTGCTATAATTCTTTGTTACTTTATATGTGAATATACTCACTACTGACTATGTTTATGTATGTAGGAAACATGCTAGTGATGAAAATTCAAGCAGTTATTACCCTGGTTTTCTTTCATTAACAAAATACAGAAGAGAAATTATCTACTTATTCTTGGAGGTCTTAAAATATCTTTTCAGTTGACTGATGATTCTGCTATCAAGAGCTACAAGTAGGTGCTCTGGCCGTCTATATCTGTATTTCCATATATTCAATTCCTTATTATATATTTCTCATTTGATATTCTATACCCAATTCAAACAAAACCATTTCATGTATACAATGTACTTTTATTTACGCTTTTCTCTATCATTAAGTAGAAAGCCATTTGCACCTTAGTCTAAATCTGAAATGTGCCTCTACCTAACCTTTCTAATACATTTTCACTATTTCTTAGTTATTAGAATAAATTTGCATAATTTCTGAAACAACTTTCTCTATGGAGTATTCCCTTTAGTTTCTTTTCCCTTCCAAACAATTTAATGAATTACAAATATGGGGGAGATATTTTTTCAATGGGTAAGACTTGACTTCTACAAATACATGTTTAATTCCTTCTCAAAATTATTTCTACTTCCTCTTATTCAACACTGTGCTAGATTTTAGGGATATATAATAAGACAATATATGAGGTCCTTGCTGTCGTGAAAGGTACATTCTTATCTTTGGCAAATTGTAGAATCTTTAGTTTTGGTGTGCAAGGGCATTGGTGTTTGGTACATGCTTGGCTCTTTGCCTTAAGAATTGCCTCTTTCCACCATGCATATTTCACCTGTGTGGGAATCCTTGCAGATCTCTATATTATTGATAGTCATTTTGCTCCGACATTTTGTACAAAGCTGAATCAGCAACAGTATGACTAAACACAACCAAAAAAGAAAGCTAGAAAGATTATATTAGACACTTACGTGTATGGATCATTATGGTGAGGACTGCTAAAAAAAAAAAAAAAAAAACACCTTCAGCCAAAATAAATTTACAGTTTAATTGAGTAATGAATGATTCATAAATTGGAAAGCCCCCACAATCACAGCAGATTCAGAGAGACTCCAGCGGTGTCTCATGGTCAGAATGAATTTATAGACAATACAAAGTAAAGTGACGTATAGAAATCAGAAGTGAGGTACAGAAACAGCTGGATTGATTACGGCTTGGCACTTGCCTTATTTGAACACTCAGCTGTATGCGACTAGTTGAAGTATGGCTGCTGGACTTGGCCAAGACTCAGCGATTGTTACAGGCGCATACTCCTAAGTTAGGTTTTAGTCTTGTGTACCTATTGAGTTAGGTTGCAGTTCATTCACAAGGACTGAAATACAGAAGTATGGCGTTTTTCTCAGGCCATATTTAATTTGATTTAACAGGACTTTGGGTATGTCATTGTATTTTACTAATATATTTTACAAACACCCCATGTTATCTTAATCTATTTAAGTTCACACTTTTTAATGAAATTTTACTTTAAATGTATCTAACCTCCTAAATTTCTGCCTTTATGAACCAATAATACTTTTTCCAAATTCTTATTATAGCACATATCAGACTATATAGCTATAGACACTTTGGCATCATTGTTTTCCCATACAAAACACAATACATTTAATGAATTAATGAATGATGCATCAGCAAAGAAGCTTTTACTGAAAGTAAGAAAAATTATAAGCCAGTTTGGGTTTCCCAAGAATCAGACACCAAGATGGAATTACACATATAATACAGTAACCAGAGAAAACGCCTTTGAAGAATAAAGAGAAGATAGAGCAAAAGGAGGCTGCAAGAGCCTCCAGATCATGATGCAAGCCTGGCACCTCAAAAGAAGAGAGAGCATGAAAGATAATTGGAAAGGAGGAGCCTCAGAGAAGAGTGCAGATCTGAGAAATTGTCAGTGAAAGAGCACCAAAGTGAATTTTGACCTTTAGATGAGTCCACGTGGGACAAGAATGAAAAGCCCTGTAATATCTTCCTTGCTCAGCATTGGCAGGGAGCAACCTAAGGAGAGCATGGCACCTGCATGTAAACCAAAAATAAAATTCAATGTCCGTTAACCAACTAAATGGGCCCTTTATCTTGGCCAAGGGCATTTTAAACTAAACCTGAAACAGTAATGGAGGCCATGATGGAAATGGGTGGTTGAACATGCCTCGTTATTTACTTTCATCCTTTCGGAATTCATGCATAGCTGAACAGTGTTAACATTAAAGTAGAGACTTAAGAATGACAAAACAGACTCTTCGTAGCAATAAGATATCAACATGACAGATAGCAGGCCTTGAAAGAAAAAGTATTTCACCAAAAAAATACATTTCTTTGACATATTTTGAAATGGCCCTACAAAGCTGTTTCTGTGGGGAAAATCTCCATTTTGTAGAGAATCCCGTTGTCTTTCCAAGTCTTTTTCCTGATTTTTCCTGATTCCAAGTCCTTTTTCCTTTTTATGTCTGATAAAAATCATTTACAATCTATTCTCAGTGAAGCCTGCTACCTGCAAGCTTCATCTGCATAAGAACCTCGGTCTCTAAAACACCTTATCTTAACCCGTACACTCCTGTCTATTGATTCCGGTCTTTAGATAAATTATTTTAGCCAGTTCTCAAATGCCAATCAGAAAATCTTCGAATTCACCTTTAACCTGGAAGCCTTCACCCACCCCACCCCCACCTGCTTTGAGTTGTCTCACCTTTCCCGATTTTACCAATGTATATCTTAGGCGTACTGATTGATGTCTTATGTCTCCCTCACATGTATAAATCCAAGCTGTAGCCCAACAACCTTGACACATGTTCTCAGGATCTCCTGGGCTGTGTGACAGGCCGAGGTCACTCATATTTGCCTCAGAATAAATCTCTTCAAATATTTCACGGTTTGACTCTTTTCTTCAACATGCATTATCACTGTAGTAGCTCTGAAGTGGTTGAGTTGGAGGTAACCCACCAACAACCCTCCTCATGGAAATTTCTCTTGAATGAAAATATGGGAGGAGTAAATTCTTCACTGCCAAATACTATTTCAAATTCTTTCAAGCATAAGGTACATTCATTATTTAACCTAAAAGTCAATCAAGAGGTAAAAAGAGGTCACAGTTTGCTTACGTATTTTCTGGCACTTCTTTGCTATTGGCTGTGTCACTTTTACCCTTGACATTGCTGCAAAAATGTCTGCAGACATTTAGGGTCATCATATTCAGATACAACCCTACCCAGAAGACCAAGAAAGAGACACCAAGAGAAACATTTATTTTAAAAACTCTTAAGGTAATTTGCCCTGATTTGCCTTTGTGCTGAATTGGGTCATATGTTTATTTTTGTTCTTATTTTTGGCAAAGAATCAGGCTATACTTAGAGTAATCACATCATACCTGAATCTGAAGACGAGACAGTAAACTTAGAGAAGTACTGAAGCCTTGGAAGCCTTGGATATATTGAATATGTTCTATCTTAGAAAGAAAAGGTGAGATAATGTATGCTGGCAGTCAACCAACAGCATATTCTCCTAATGAACAACTGGAGAGTCATTTAAGTTCAATGTTGGGGATTTTATTAGAAACTGTAAGATGAAGACACAATTCATTTTCTCTTTCCCTGTAAATTTGGACAATATTTGCTATATTCGCCTATATTTTGGCATAGAAATTTAGGTTCTAAGTATATAGTAGTGATATAGCCTTCTTACAGGGTCACATAGACCCACAAGTAATAATTTTTAATACTCTTTTTATTCTCTCTGGTTGGCTAACATTAAAACAATCCACAGAAAACCCCCAAGAGCTATGTATTGAGGATGGCAAAACCACAGATGGGAAAATAATGAATCTTTGAATGACCCTGCGGGAAATCACAAATAGCATTCCTATTATTTAAGCAAGCAATAACTTTTATTGTTTTAAGAGTTGGAGGTTTAATTGTTTCAGTATTACTGTTACCACAATTATTACAGGAAATGAAATGAGTAAAAAAAAATAGAGGGAACAAGGTTTATTGACATCTATGAGGCATTTTCTTTCCCCTAATATTACATACTCTAGATTTTATTTCTGTACAAAAAATATTCTCTATGTCTAGCATAAAGAACTATGTCTTATTCATATTTATACTCTTCATAGATCAAAAGTGTGCTTAAAATACTGTACATTTAATGAGTTATTTTTGAATGTAAGCAACTTTGAATTCATCTTTGCATTTTTAATCTTATGTTTCTATTAAATGTATTATTAAATTCTACTAACACTTTCCTCAAAATAATTCTCAATATTTTGGTTTTTAATTTTTTACTGCCTTTGCATTCTCCTGGCAGAGACCCATTTCACCTCTCCTATAGATTATTTCATAAAGATTTTATCATCCGTATCATATATATTTACAATATTAAAAGTTATCTGTAGCATGCTCTCATTGTTGCTTATAGATTAGGTTTGCTTCTCTATGTACTACTCTGGTAGGCAGTGGTTAAATATACTGCTTTAAGCCTTTTCACAGTACCTTCTATAATATCATCATGCACAGTTTTAGGCACACAGCAGAAAATCAATGAAACATATTTAATTGACTAAAAATTGAAAGACATTGGTATATATGTAGGACAGATACTGATATTTTTATAAGCCCAACTCTGAAATGGTGATACACAAAAAGTTGATAATTTTTTTCAGCAAAAACTATTAATAGTCATTTTTCAACATAATGTAAAATATATTTGAGATTGATAAATATTTTAGAACTCAAGTGTAAGAAAGCCATTAAGGGAATCCCACAATTTTCATTGTTTCTAAAACCTAATATAATTTAAGATTATGAACAGCCTTCTTTCTCAGCAGAAAAACATATCACCAACCCACTACATTAAAAAAATGCATTATTCCAATCAATCTTGTTAATATACCATAGAATATTGAATTTTTTAAGAAAATTCAGAACTTTAAAAATAAATACTAACCATAATAGCTCAATTAAAATTATCTCTATATTCTTGGAGGTTTTCAAATGCCATATCTAAAAATAGGATATAGTAAGGTATATCCAGGGATAAACTAGCTGTTAAAAAATAATTTATTGAGACCTGTTATTATTGGCTGAGTAAACTTCTCTTATCTTCCAAAACATGTTCCATTATTTCATAAGATCTAGAAATGATACCATGTTTGAAATTGGTTGAAAGGTTTCCCTATTGACCTACTTATAAATGGGTTATTTACATATTCAGGGTAATTACTTGTGCTTAAAACTGTTTTCAAGATAAATATGAACTGTGTCATTGTTCATATAAAAGAAAGATGCTTCTTTTCAATTAATTTCTATTAGTTAATAATTCTACAAATTATGTTTATTTCAATGGAGATTAAAGAACATAAAAAGAATAATGTTTCTGTTTTAGACTATATTAGTAAACCAGTTGGGGGGTGGGGCAATGAGGATAAACTCCATCAAAGGAACATAAGTTAGAAAAGTTGTAACATAAACTTAGGTTATAAGTCTGAATTACCCTAGACAGTTAGTCTATGGAATATGAGACTCTATGCAGCCTCAGCTGGCAGCACTGCCCTTAAGCAAAGATCATGAAAGAGATGCTGAAATAATTAATCAGGCAGAAATTTAGTATAATATTTCTTTGGGAATGTTCTCCGATACTTGGAAGTCAAAATAACAAGTAATTCTCACTTCCATTCTTTGTCTTCTCAATATACATCCCTATATCTTGCAAGGCATTTAGCAAATTAGAGTACATTTACCAGCCTCCTTGCACTTTGATGAGGCAATGTAACTAATTTTTGGACCATAACATGTGAACAGAAGCAATATTTGCAGCATCTAAAAGAAATGTGTGTGACCTTTTACCCCTGTTACCATGCTTTAGAATTCATAGCTGTTTTCAGCTATTTTATATATAAAATAAGCATATAAAAGCAACAAAATAAATCAACATTGTAGAGCTATCGTGACATCACTGGACTTCTCCTAAAAGTTTTACGTGAAAAATATGTGAATTATTTCAAGCTGCTCTACTTGTTTTTCATAGACTGTCATTAATTAATTTTTTATGTACCACTAAAAAGCATTTTAAAATGCCTCTAAACTATGGCACACTGCTAAATATTTTCTAGATGTCTCAAAGAAGTTTTTATATGCAGTAATTTTGTTTTACATACACATGCATACTTACTGATTTCAAGTTTTTTCAACTTTCATATGAAATTGAAAGTTGAAAAGGCATATGAAATGTCTTTTTGAAACTCCTAACTCAATTTAATTTTTTTTTTTTACATTTAGGTTTACCATATTGTTTTAACAAAATGCTGTGTATTTATTCTAATATTTTAAAAACTTTAGGAATAAATTAATAATTTGGATTGTTCTACAGTATTGTATCCTGAACTGGAACTTTTTTTACTGATTTATTAATTGGAATATGAAATATGATATGCACATGTGAAAGACACAGATCTTAAGCATATAGCTTTAAACATTTTTAGAATGTCATCACAACCTACATGAATATGAATTGAGTATTACTAGAATCCAGGAGTCTCTATTGTGAACCTCCAATCATTACTATAGGCAACCACTGTTCTTACTTTTATCTTTATAAATTACATTTGCTTGACATTGAACTTCATAGCAATTGAACCATACAATAGATATTAATTTCAATCTGGTTCAAAAAACACAACCAACAGCGTGGGTGTCAGTGTGAAATTCTGGGCTGCTTCTCAGCTGAATCAATGGTGCTGACAGCTGCAATAGCAACAGCAGTGTCTTCAGAAGTTTTACTGAGAGTTTGGAGTCCAGAGTTTCTGCCTAACAGCAGCTGCACTCAAATAGGGCCAATGGTCAGTCTGGAATCATGGGACCCAGAATGCACCACCTTCCCCTATTCATTTTTCACAGTTAAGGATGGAAGTGGCTTCCTTCATTTGCTCATCATCTGGAGTAGCAGGCCTCTTTTGCTCTTTCAGCGTTTCTAACATTGTTGTAACCATGCCCCCAACCCCTGTATTATATTGTCTATCCTTTAAAAACTATTTTGTGGACTTGTATAAAATTTATTTTCCCATTCCCAGTATAAAATAATTGGGTCATTCTTTACTCATGTATCAATTCAAATTTCTAAGACTCTATTTATCTCTTCTCCTCAATAATGTTTCTTTTTTCTTTTTCTTCTTTTTAGACAGGGTCTTGTGCTCTCACCCAGGCTGGAGTGCAGGGGCTGGAACACAGCTCCCTACAGCCTCGACCTCTTGAATTCAAGTGATCCTCACACTTCAGCCTCCAGAGTAGCTTTGATGACAGGTGTGTGCCACCAGGCCCAGCTACTTTTCTTTACTTTTTGTAGAGACATGGTCTTGCCATATTACCCAGGCTAGTCTCAGACCCCTGGGCTCAAGTATCCTCCTGCCTCCACCTCCCAAAGTGCTGGGATTATAGGCATAAGCCACCATGCCCAGCTAATGTTTTCTATTTACCATAGCTTTTTGCATATATATGTTATTATATATATGTAATATATATATAATATAGTATGTATGTGTATATACTATATTATTAACAATTAGATCTAAAATATAGAAATAATTTTAACACCTTTATTTTCTGTACCTTCATAGTTAATCTCATATTTTCCAAATCTGTTAATGTGGCACTGGTCAGAGTTATAGCTCCAAAGAATGAGCATCCGCTCAGTCTCATAACCAGGACCCAACCTGCAACATTAATGTTACAGATTAATTCCTAATTCCAGTCTCACTCTTTCATCACCAGTTCTATCTTTGCACACTTACTAATCCCAATTATTTTAAAGCAAGTTGCTTAACCTGCTGTGGCAGTTTTCCCCTCTCCTTCAACTTTCTCTCTCTCTTTTTTTTTTCTTCTAATAATACCTGCCAAGTAAGAATCCCTTTCATTACGTACATCAAATATCCACTTCCTCCAACAATTTTATTCAACCTAAGTATTCAACCTAAGGGCTTAGATTCATGGTCTGTCCTTACAATGCTGTTCCATCTTTTTAAAGCTAATTGCAATGCATCTAGTCATTTTTATTGCAGCACTATGTATAATAGCCAAGATACAGAATAAGCCTAAGTGTCTGGCAACAGATGAATGCATAAAGAAAATGCGCGATCTGTATACAATGAAGTACTCTTTAGCCATAAAAAATAAAATCTTGCCATTTATGACAATATGGATGAATCCAGAAGACATCGTGGTAAGTGAAATAAGCCAGACACAGAAAGACAAGTACAGCATGATCTCACTCATAAGTGGAGTCTAAAAAAAAAAAAGAAAATACAAACATTTAAAAAAGTTAATATCATAGAAGCAGAGAGTAGAAAAATGTTACTGGAGACTAAAGACGGGAGGACGAAAAGAAGGATGAGGAAACTTTGATTGATGGTATAAAATTACAACTAGATAAGAGCAATAAATTCTGGTGTTCTGTTGCATGTAGAGCAAGTATGGTTAACAGTGAAATATCGTATATTACAAAATAGCTTGAAGAGTTGTCTTCGAATGTTCTCACCACAAAGAAATGATAAATATGTAAGATAATAGATTCACTCTGAATGGATCATTGTACAACATGGATAGGTATCCAGGTATCAAATTATACCCCATGAGTATGTACAATTATTATATGTCAATTCATAAATAAATAAGATCACTAGATTTAATCAAGAGAATCTTATTGACTTGTTCTCATTTTAGAGTTTTAAAACTAGTCTGCCCTATTGCAAACTACCTATTTTTAAAACTACTCTTCTCCTGCACAAAAATCTCTCAAAGTCTCCTTTCTCCTGAAAGAAAAATGACCTATTTAATTTACAAATATTTCAAAAATTAGTGCACATTTTATATATGAAAAGAATGCTGTAGACTGATTTGCAAATAACATTCTAAGATTCCCATTACCTTTAAGAGGAGTCAGCTGTCATTTTGGAAAAATTAAGATTTCAACAATTTTACACATATGAAAATATTTTTGATAATGAAAAATGTTCAATCTTAAATCATGTAAATAAGTAAATAGAGAGGTAAAATAAAGAGCTTAATGTTTATGTGATATTGAGAAAAAATCTTTTTTAAAAATAAAATACAGATTAAAAAACAACTTTGTGCTTTAACTGAAGGGTGTCCCTACTCCCTGATGTGTTTGAGACTGTCACAAACCTGAACCCATTTGGACAATACATCAAATAATCATTTTGCATCGTTTCACTATTGGGGAAATGAGAACTTCTTACATTAAATGAAAAAAAAAAAACTGAAAAAGTAGTATTACTTTGTCTTTTAAGTGGCAAGATAGGGTTGATATGATGCCGAAGTATAAACAGTAAGGACTAAGTGAGGATGGAGGATATATGAATAAATGTATCAAAAGTCAAGAGAAATGATAAAACAGTCAATTCTGGGGAACAGTAGTAGAAGCTACGCATGGAATATGGTTAGACAGACAGTGATATTTACTTTTGAGTTTTGCTTATATATTTCTAACATTTCCTGATAGGACTGGCATTCTAACAGTTATTCTTATTGTTATAAATTCTTTTAAAAATATTTTTTCTCCAAACATCTCAGTTCAAATTATAGAGTTAAAGGAAACTATGGTAATAAAATAAAATATTAATTATTTCAAAAGAAAAAGAGAAAAATTTGTACACTTAATTTAAAATTGTTTTCAGTCTTATTTTTGCAAGCAATTTACCAATAGATTTGTAATGCACAGTAATGTTGAATGGGTATTGAAGCTATTGAAATACAGAAGTAAGTTAGTTTTTCATTATGCTGTGAGTGATGTCCTGAAACACATTAACTTGATATTTTATCTATTGTTTAATATAATTCCCCATGAATTACATATAATGGTAATAGATTAATATCTTTGGAAGTACTGTAAATAATTATATAATTCAGCCAGGAATTACCTTGCTCATTTGCTAACATTATTATATTCTTTCAAAAGCAAATAGCAAAAATAATTTTCAACTGACATACATATGGAATACTTACTCTTCAATTATCTCAAAATGCCCAGATTTTCTCAATAACTTTCCTATTGATTTAATTATAGGCATTAAAAATGAGTATTCTAGTACAAGAATAAATAGTGTTGTCTCTCCTTCGTCCCCCAGTACTCCTAAATATTTACTAAAAATCTCAATGCTAATCAATAGTGGAAGTATTTGGTGCCTAATGATGGCATTCCATTCCTTCCTTGAAGTCCAATACACAGAGTAATAGAAATCTCATGAATGTGATTGTGTGAGGTGGCTCATAATACTTGGATCTATAGAGAGAATCACTTAACAGACATTAGTTGAATCAGAAACTACTTCTCATTTCATTGAGTTCTATGCAGTCCCCAACCTTTGTGGCACCAGGGACTGGTTTTGTGGAAGACAATATTTCCATGGACAGGGGAGCAGGGGATGGTTTTAGGATTATAATGGTTAATAATAGATGTCAACTTAATTGGATTGAAGGATGCCTAGATAATTGGTAAAGAATAGTTTCTGGGTGTGTCAGTGAGGGTGTTGCTGGAGGAGATTAACATTTGAGTCGGACTGGGAGAGGAAGACCCATCCTCAACGTGGGTGGACACCATCCAATTGACTGTCAGCTTGGCTAGAACAAAGCTGGTGGAAGAAGGTGGGATAAGCTGACTTAACAAGTCTTCTGGCTTTCATCATTCTGCTGTGCTGGATGCTTCCTGCCCTTCGACATCAGACTCCAGGTTCTTTAGGCTTTGGACACTTGAACTTACAGCAGTGGTTTTCCAGGGGCTTTCAGGCCCTTGGCCACAGACTAAATGTTGCACTGCCAACTTTCCTACTTTTGAGGCTTTTGTAGTTGAACTAAGTCTTTGTTGGCTTCCTTGCCCCTTAGCTTGCAGACAGCCTATCATGGGACTTCACCTTGTGACTGTATAAGTCAATTCTCGTTAATAAACTCCTTTTCATATATACATATATCTTATAAGTTCTGTCCCTCTGGAGAACCCTGACTAATACAGGGATGAAACTGTTCTACCTCAGATCATCGAGCATTAGATTCTCATGAGGTATGCACAACCTAGATCCCTTGCATGCTCAGTTCATAATAGGGTTCACATTACTATAAGAATCTAATTCTGTAGCTGATTCGACAGAAGGCAGAGCTCAGGTGGTAATGCTCACTCACCTGCCGCTCACCTCCTGCTGTATGATCTGATTCCTAACTAGCCATAGCTCATTACCAAGGGTTGAGGACCACTGTGTTAAAAGATAAACTAAGGCACAATAGAATTTTAAATATGTTATTTACACAATGATTTATGACTCAGGCAGCTCCAAACCATAAAAGTGGCTTAAGAGCTCCACTGAGGGAGCACAGGGGGAGGCTTTTAGAGGACAGGCACAGAAGAAAACTAAAGGTAATGTTTGACTATTTATAGTTGTACAGTTATTTGTACCTTATTTGGTACCAAAGTTGTACCTTACTAGGTCTATCCCATTGGAAAGTCTTCAGTTATATGATTATGTGTGTTGGCTACTTCTGATTGGTTGAACTTAAGTTCTGTTTTTCTTTAACATAGAAATTGATAAGAATAGCTCAAGTTTCCCTTATATCTGTAGATCAATCAAGGTTTAGATCACTTATGATGCCTAACTGCTTTTGTCTGCTCAGAAATTCTTCAGGCCTGGACTCCATTTTAATTTACTTTAATGATTGTTACTTTAAATTTGGATTAAACAGTGGATTCATATGTACTGAGTGGAAAAAAATGGAAATAGATGTTATAAAATTTATTTGAAATCATTCAGCCAGGATGTTTTAAACAGCATAAATTAGCAGAATTACCAAAAACACATTTTGAAAAAACCTTGAAGCAATTTTAATGTATTGCAAAATGTTAAGGAGACTAGTGGGACAAAAACTTAAAGGTTGAGTTTGAGATATGATGCAGGGTTTTTTGCTCCTTAGCCCAGCTAGGCCTAAGTTCTGAAGAAGTAGGCACATGGACACTCAAAGAGTAAGTGTAGTAGAATTTATTTAGTGAAAGGAAAGCTCTCAGCAAAGAGAGGGGTCCTGATGCCAAGTTCTTGGTTGCCCCCTTAATGGTTGAATACAAGGGCATTTTTTTTTTTTCTTGAGACAGAAACTCACTCTGTTGCCGAGGCTGGAGCGCAATGACGTGATCTCGGCTCACTATAACCTCTGCCCTCCAGGTTCAAGCAATTCTCCTGCATCAGCCTCCTGAGTAGCTGGGATTACTGGCACACGTCACCAGGCCCGGATAATTTTTGTATTTTTAGTAGATATGGGATTTACCATGTTGGTCAGGCTGGTGGTCTCCAACTCCTGATCTAGTGATCTGCCCGCCTCCGCCTCCCGAAGTGTTTGGATTACAGGTGTGAGCTACCGCACCCGGCAACAAGGACATTTTTATACAAGCTGATAGGGCTGTGAATTCCTGGTTGTATGAGACGTGAATTCCTGGTTGCTCCACTCCATCTTTCCGGTGAGTTATGTGGGCCCTTAGTCTGTGCCGCTCCATATTGATTTATTTCCCTTAATGCACATATGTTAAGGAACGAAATTTTCCACTATGGGCATGTTTAGGCAAGCTCCCTTAGCAAGTACCCTTATCTGCACAAAATATTTGGTATAAGCACCTAGGGGGTGGGTAGGAGGTTCTCCAGGGGATCCTTTCCTGACTGTCTCCCTAAAGCAAGTTGGCTGACTCCTTTCATTCCTCCCTTCAGGAGTGGAGACCCCAAATTCTGTTGGGGAAAGTGTACAACTACTGCTCTTAACTGCTTCCTGCCGACAAGGGGTGCTGTTTTGGGAAAGTGGCAGTTAAGGCTCCTCCTGAGGTCAGTTTAAGGGTCCCCAAAGAGAACGGTGTGTTCATGAGTGGTTCTGTTTGCATCACCATTTGAAATTGAATGGCCTTTAAGTGAGAAGAAACAATTTGGGTTATTAGAGGACACATTCAAAATGAAACAAAGGGATAAGGACAGCTCAAAACAAAACAAAACAAAAATCTCAAGGCTGCCAATACAGCCAGATAACTCGTGGCTATAGTTATGCCTGCTAAGGTTTGTATTCATGGGGCTTGGCTTTGATTAGCTCCCTTGGTCTTATTTTCCCAAACAAAGAAACCTCTGGGTTATGGGCACGTATTTACTCCTATCACCTGGAAGGATTTGCAGGATAATTGTTCAGAATTAAAATATTGATCCAGATTTTTTATATTACTCATCTCTTTGGTTCTTTTGAGCTGCAGCCATACATTGCTGGTTGGTCCAACAGGAATAAGCAGGGTAGTCTAAAAAGTAGGCAAAAACTTAAAAACAACTAATGGGATTATAATGTAATGACAAATGTAGAATAAGTTTTGAAACATAATTTCTCTCTCTCCAGTCCTCATTTTTGTCAAAAACAAATCATGATAGGACTCAGTTGTTTGAAAAATAAACTTTAGCCTTATACTTGTCTTATTTGCATAAAGTGCAACAAGAATAATTATTTTTCCCATAGGATTTTAAATTGGCTTTGATGGAACTCTGTTCCATAAGGAATCTCAGTTAAGACCTTTTAAGGCCAAGCCCAGCCATGGGTTTCCATCCTCAAATATCTACGAGTTTGGTAAATCATTCTCTTCTTGATGTCCCAAGAACAAGCTTTTTAACAGGCCCAGGAGCTTTTTAACAGGCTCCTAGCCCTGTTAAAAAGTGACATGCTTTACTCCCCACGGGTTAGGAACCTTGTACAAGGACTGTGTTGACAAGGTATGTAGCCAGTTTTCCCAAGGGACTTTTATTGGCAAGTCCAGCTTAATTACTTAAAGGAACATATACCCTTCCAGTAAAAGCCTCGGTAAAACCACCAGTTTCTTCAATCGTGTCCTGTTGCAAAAGAAAATGTATTCTTATTGCACTGATGAAAATAACTGTATTGCCATAAATTAAATATTCTCACAAATAGTTTCCAAATTCTGGCAAAGCCAGGCAGAGAGAAACAAACGTCCTTCAAATTTTGTTCACAGGCATATAGTTTACTCAATTATTAAAGGCTTTAAATAGTTCAAAATAAGTATCCTTGACTCAGAAAAACAAAGCAAGGATCACCAAAGTTTTAAGCAAAAAGGTTAAAAATAATACTTGTTTTCTATTAGTTCAATCCATTCTGTTCTCTTGTTCTGCTTGATATTCATGAACATTTCAGTTCTTCATGAGTACTGTATTTTTTTCAATGTCATAATCTCCAGAGTTAATGGAATCTTGCATTGAGAACACTTGTCAAAATCCTATAGCTGATTATAAATCATCTTTTGAGTAGGATCAAAACAAGTCATTTGTCTGTGAAAGATGAAATGTCCAGGGTAGTTACTGTCAAGAATACAATTGACAAAGAAATTTAGTTATTTCTAGGGTTTACAATAACGAAACATAATAACCTTAATCATGATTGATAGCATATACTCAGACATTAGAATTTTAGAAATCTCATATAATTTTGAAACATATTAATATTATTCACTAAAATATAACCTAAAGAAGATTAAATATAACTTTGGAAATACCATATAACTAAACATTTCAAAAAATCCAGTTTTCTTCTCTTTTGGATGTTCCAGGGACCAGGAAAGACAATTTTGAAACTGAAGTTTGATTTTGGGAAGCCTGTTAAATACGTTAGAGGTTCAAAGCACTTGATATTATAAAATAGAATTCCAAGTTACCATATGTCATTTATTTTAGCCAAAATGATGACTCAAACATTTTAAAACAACGCAAAAGCATATTCACAGTAAGAGGGAAAACTTAGCTTTCCAAACAATCTGTCGTTAATTTTACAGGGAAATCCTGTTCAAGTGAAAGCCTAATTTCATCCTTGCATTAGTCTACTGCTGATGTCAACCCCAATTTTTTTAATGAAAACTTATAGACAATTATATCTAATCTTATCTAGGTTGACCATGAGGTGAGATTTTTTTAAACTTTTATAACCCTTTACAAATTGTTGTTAAAGAGCGTATCAGTGCCTTTAGAAAACCTTGTTGTGCTTTTATTTCAATGCTCAATTTACAAAAACAAAATACTTTTTTGAAATTAGTCAATATGTTCACACAATTTCTTTTGCAAGATTAATTTTTACAAACCTTTCACCAATTGTTTAAACCTTCAGCTTTATCTTATCTAATTCAAAACAATCCTTTAACCCAAGGCAAAAATTTACATTTTCATGCATTCTTATAATCTTTTACTAAAAATATATTTTACTTTCCTTACTTATGTTATATGTAAATCTATTTTCATTGTCTCTATTACAGGTTATTATGGTAACTGTTAGCAATTTTTAACTTTAATGTAAAACCTGGCAAGTTGCTTTAATTATGTAGTAGGCATAAATAAATTCTGATTCCTTCCTGCATAATTAAGGGTGTGGTTAATTCCATATGTCCCTGGACTTATTAATTGTGAAGCAGGCAAATTGAATAGTGTATTAGTCAATTTTCATGCTGCTGATAAAGACAATCTTGAGACTGGGCAATTTACAAAAGAAAGAGATTTAATTGGACTTACAGTTCCACATGGCTGAGGAGGCCTCACAATCATGGCAGAAGGTAAGGGGGAGCAAGTGACATCTTATGTGGATGGTAGCAAACCAAAAAAGAGAGCTTGTGCAGAGAAACTCTCATTTTTAAACCATCAGATCATGAAACCCATTACTGTCACGAGAACAGCATAAAAAGACCCACCCTCATGATTCAGTCATCTCCCACTGGGTCCCTGCCACAATACATGGAAATTACGGGAGCTACAAGATGAGATTTGGGTGGGGACACAGAGCCAAACTTTATCAAATAGTTCTTAAAAGCCAAAGAAGCAGTTAATAACTTTGAATCATTTAGCTAACCTAGTGTCTGACCTACATGATTCAGCCCACATATTTACGTTTTAAAGACATTTGTATTTTACCAATTATTTTTAAAACTGCCTTTATTTCTTAAAGATTATAATCATGTGAACTCGAAAGGTATTACAGCTTTTATTTTTCTTCAAAAAATATTTGATCTAAGTGCTTATTTTCCTAGAGCTTTTTTATATAAACATCATGCCCATAAGAAATATAAAATTACACAGATGAACAAAAGCAAATTCAGTACTTGTAAGATTTTTCATTTGCCAATCTCCTGAATAGATTATTGGCCTCTGGGTGAAGCCCTTCAAGAGCAGGGCCTAGGACAGCCTACAGTTTCTAGGGCCTAATAAACAGGCATAGCTGGAAGACAGAGATAGATTTTGAGAAGGATCTATCCACTTTTAATTCCTGGGGTTTCATGAGGAAAACAGAGGGTGTTTTTTTCCCCAAAATGGGGTCTGCGGCACCTTCTTTGTTTTTTCCCAGGAGCCCCAGGCTATCAGAAGTTATCTTAGAGCCTCTCATGTATGCACTGAATGACAAGACAAAATGGGAAAAAAAAAAATCATTCAACAGAGAAAGAACCTTTTTCCAGAAAAACAAGATCCATGCAGAGAAAAATTTAAAGGCCTTTAAATATACCTATAACTTGGATATCCATTTTAATTCAGCTGTGCTCTAAGAAAATCATTTCAAATCTATTACCCAACTTTAGCCATGCCGAGCAGCCAATATTTCTGGCTTTTGAACTTTATTAAAAATAACCTCACAGGTGAAACCAACAAGCCTCAACTAAGGTTATGACTTAACTGTAAGTGTAAAAGTTATTTTCAAAGAGGTGCTAAGCAGTTTTTACAGAAACTAAGATCTTTAAAGTTGGTTCAGACAAAGGAAGATTTAAGAAAGGAAGCTAGAAGTTGTTTGTAGAGGGGAAGAGAATCAGCAAATGGTAAAAGTCACACAGATATTAACCAAAATATACTCATTCCCTATGTTATCAAGTGGTTACAAGGTCAAGCTCCTAAGGACATAAAACAAGATGAAGAACTGCAGCAAGGTTTGTTACTGACCAGTTTGCCAGGCTGGCTTGATCAGCAAACTTTTGGGGTCCTAGGCCTACATTCTATCCTAAGGTACCCCTCTTTATGACAGAACTATACAGAAAGACACACAAAGCACACTACATTGGCTACAGCTTAAGACTAGCCTCATAAATCCTTTTTTTCTATTTATCAGAACTTCAGAGAGGATATAAACAGTGATTTAAACAGAGATTTTATCATTTATTCAACTGGTTTGCACAGGGAGAGGGAGGCCAGAAGTCTGACTGGTAAGAACTTTTTTTTTTTTTTTTTTTTTTTGAGACAGACTCTCCCTCTGTCCCCAGGCTGGAGTGCAGTGGTGTGATCTCTGCTCACTGCAAGCTCCATCTCCCAGGTTCACGCCATTCTCCTGCGTCAGCCTCCGGAGTAGCTGGGACTACAGGTGCCCGCTACCACGCCCGGCTAATTTTTTTTTGTTGTTGTTGTCGTTGTTATTTTTATTAGAGACGGGGTTTCACCATGTCAGCCAGGATGGTCTCCATCTCCTGACCTCGTGATCCGCCTGCCTTGGCCTCCCAAAGTGCTGGGATTACAGGCGTGAGCCACTGCACCCGGCCCTGGTAAGAACTTTTACCCCTTTGCTGGTGTACCAGGCTTCTGAGTTGCCCTTTTTCATGCTCAGTTTTGAGCCAAGCAGTTTAAGGTTTGGGGAAATTAACTTTTCCCAGTTTAAGGGATGCATCCGAAGGGAGTGTCCTGTGGTACAGAGACACAATGACCCACCCACAAAGAGAGGACAGAGGAGGAAAAAGGAGAAAGAAGGTGTTTTTTCAGAGGAGTCCTAGTGATTCAGGAGGCAATCAAGAGAAATATGGGCTGCAGATGATTGGTTACCCACCTAAGAAGAGGGGAGCAAGGCATCCCTCGTTTCTTCTTTTTCCTAGTAAATACCTGAGGTACATGAGGGAGAGGAGAAAAGTGTCCTCTTTCTTTCTTCTGTTCTTATATCCCTGAGTCCTGGTGATCTTGGCAGGTTACCACCCATGGGTGCCAATGCAGCTTTCACCTATGTTAACAGGGGCCTTACAGGGTGCGAGTTATCCACCATTACCCATGCGCTGCTAGTCCCACTGTTGTCGATAACCTTTGAGTTCCCTAGATTTCATGCATGCCATGGATACTAGAATGACCTCTATCCACGAGATGGAAGGGGGCCTAATCGGCAGAAATTAGTCATGCTAACCTAAAGCTTTGGAGCTGGGTCTTCCTTAACCAAGGGAGAGAAAAGGCTATCTTGGGAATTGGGGTCCTGGCCTAATAAGAAAAAAAAAAAAAAAAAAAAAAACCTCTCATAAAAGTTAACTCCTTACAAAGTGGAGAAAAGAAAAAAAAATAAAATAAAACAGCTTAAGTGCAGGGTGGGGAAGATGCCTGGAGGAGAAACCTTTTATTTTTATGCAAATGAGTTCCTCCAATAGGGAGAGAACATTTTAATTGCTGTCTCCTCCTTTCTGGCTCAGCCAGGGGAGGAAAGACACTGTGGGTGCATGGGGAGAGGGAAGAGTGAGCAGGAAATGCTGGCCACCTAGGCAAGTGGGGCCCTTGGGTTATGTGCCCCAGCCGGGAGGGGAGGGAGGTTGGGAGATGCCGCTCTCCCATTTGTCTCACATGTGTACCTGTGGCCATTGGAGGTTGGGGTAAGGGACATGTCTCTAAAAACGGAGGGAGAGCACATTGTTCTGAATTGTATAGAATTTATTAAGTTAAAGGAAAGCTCTCAGCAAAGAGAGGAGTCCTGAAAGTAGGTTCCTGGTTGCCCTCTTCACAGGTGAATACAAAGGCATTTTTATATAAGCTGATCGGGCTGAGTTCCCTATTTGTATAAGGCATGAATTCCTGTAGGCTCCACTGCATCCTTCCAGAGTGCATGCAGACCCTTAGTCTGAGACATTCCATATTGATTTATTTTTCTTACTGCCCATGTGTTAAGAAACAAAATTTTCCACTGCGGGCATGTTTAGGCAAGCCCCCGGAGCAAGCACCCTTATCTGCACAAAACATCTGGTATAAATACTTGTGGAGCAGGTAGCAGGTTCTCTGGGGGGAACTTTCCCTTACTGTCTGCCTAAAGCAAGCTGGCTAACTTTTCAGAAAGAGACAGAGAAAATGAAGTAGCTACCAAAGTATTCTAGGTCTACAAGTGATATTATTTTCCACAAGTATTCAAATGCCATTCTAGTCTAAACTAATTCATTATAAATCAGCTAATATTAAGTAAATATTTTACAAATTAAAAACTAGTTACAAAAGGTAGAGACCTCAAAGAAAGGCAGAAATTAGGCAAATGGGAAAAAGTTATGGTGACTTAAAGCCTATATATTGTGATCTGGAGAATTAGAATTTAATTTGTCTATACAAAGTAGGTCATGATCCTGATAAGTTTAGCAATTAGAGTATTTATAAAAAGTAAGAGCTAAATAATTTGTTTCAGGGATGCACTTTTATTTCAATTATCTAGACCTGAAATTATATTTTTTGAGATCGTTCAGGAAGAAGAAATTACATGAGGAGAGCTTTCTAATCAGTATGCTTAGTGTAAATATATCTGGTGAGTTCATAAGTCTGTTTCATTTATTATTCTTCAGTATAGGTCTGTAGCATGACACAAACAATTCCTGATGACTTCAGCTACCTTTTTAAGGAAGGTAGACTTGCTCCATCCCCTATCTTGTATTTTGCATCTGAAAGAGGATCATACTCCTGTTTAAGTAAACTTTATTAATGTTTTTCAAAGTATTTCTTCTCTTGCCAATATAAAATAATGAAATTGTAGTAAAATGAGGATTGTCTTCCTCAAAAGGAGTAATTTTTCATGAACAATTTATTTAATTATTTCAATAAGTATTCAAAAATGATTTCAAATTATTTCAACAATTTATCTTATGAACATTTATTTCATTATTTATTCACACCATCAAATAATATTTTACATTGACTCCAAATTTTTTGCATTGCTGTTCATGTTTATATTGGAATTAATTCTCTATGACCTCCTTTTTAAGCACTGCTAAATAGATAGTAATCTTTCTTTCTATAACAGTTGAGTTTAAATTGATTTTCTTAATTTTCTCTGAGAGAGAACATTATTTTTTATTGTTGTAAACAAGCTATATTCTACATATTTAATTATTTGGAATTTGATTTGTGTATATTTTTCAGTGAAAGCTAACCTCTTCCTAATGTCTCCGTCTACATTTCATATTTATTCATCCATTCACATATTCAACAAAATTTGAGAATCTGTTTTTGGGCTTTTAATACTCATCTTATTCATTTTACTATTTATGTATTTATTTCTTTATTTATTTAGAAACTAGTTCTCACTTAGTTGCCCACATTAGAGTGTAGTGATGCCATCATAGCTCATGGCAGCCTCAAACTCCTGGGCTCAAGTTTGTTAATTTTATTTTAAATGTCCACACTGTGTTCTCAGTCAGAAACAGATTTCTTAATAATGTGTGTTGGCTGCTCCTTTTCCCAGTTCTTATCTTTGGACAGTATAAAGAGATCCAGATCATCCTAGTGAGAGGCCAGACTCTCTGAAAGCAAGAAATTAAGAACAATGTTTTTTTTCCTTGTCTTTGTTTTTCTACTTATAATAGGATGGAAACGGCTGTTTTTCTGTCCTTCTAAGAGGATATCTTCTTTATTCCAAACTTTTGGAATGTTGTAAAATCTCTCCTGGAGCCAAATAACCCTGTGTCTCCAAGTTTTTATGACCTATAGCTGTCTCCAAATTCTGGAACCTCATATCTTTTGACATATGAATACCAAAACCTAGTCTTCCTTTTACCCTAGGACTTAACCTAGGAACCTAGTAATCTAAGGATTTTAAAAATTTGACCCTCTTAGGGGAGTAAAAGAAGTTTTTCTATTGTTTCAAATCAGAGAAATTAACTGGACAAAGGGCTACAGATCTAATTCTCTCAGTGTGTGAAGAGTCTCAAGAAGCTAGTGCTTTGAGAGAATCCATGAGAAACCCAGGGACCTTTAATATCTCCTCATTATTATTTGCATAGCATACTACCAGGGGAGATGGATAATTAAAATAATAATATATTTTTAATAACTTTAAGTTCTCTTAAATCATATGGTTTTTTAAGGATTAAAAAAAATATCCTGGATATCTATGGCTATACTTAGACATATGTAATATACATATATAACACAATAGCTTTTGGGGAACAAGTGGTTTTTGGTTACAGAGTGGTAAAGTCTGAGATTTTGGTGCCCTTGTCACCCAAGTAGTGTACATTGTACCCAATATGTAGTGTTTTATCCCTCGCCCACCTCCTACTCTCCCCCTTAGTGGTCTCCAATGTCCATTATACCACTCTATATGCATACCCATGGCTTAGCTACCACTTAAAAGTGAGAATATATGATATTTGGTTTTCCATTCCTGAGTTACTTCACTTAGAATAATGGCCTCCAGCTCCAGTTGGAGTTGCTGCAAATGACATTATTTCATTCTTTTTAGGGCTGAGTAGTATGTCATGATGTATGTTTACCACATTTCTTTATCCACTCATTGGTTGAGGAGCACTTAGGTTGGTTCTGTATCTTTGTAATTGTGAATTGTACTGCAATAAACATATACATGCAGGTGTATTTTTGATACAATGACTTTTTTTAATTTGAGTAGATAACCAGTAGTGGGATTCATGGACTGAATGCTAGATCTACTCTTAGTTATTTCAAAAATCTGCGTAATGCTTTACATAAAGGATGTACTAATTTACATTCCCACCAGCAATGTATAAGCATGCCCTTTTCACCACATTCATGCCAAAATCTGTTTGTTTGTTTTTTTTGACTTTTTAATAATGCCTATTATGCTGGGAAAAGATGGTATCTCACTGTGGTTTTAATTTGCATTTCTTTGATGATTAGTGATGTCGAGAATTTTTTATATGTTTGTTGGTCATTTGTATATCTTCTTTTGAGAAATGTCTATTCATGTCATTTTTTTTTACTTTCTGATGGGATTATTTTTTCTTGCTGATTTGTTTTCCTTGTTAATTCTAGATATTAATTATTTGGTAGATGCATATTTTGTAAATATTTTCTTCTATTCTCTGAGTTATCTGTTTACTGTGATGATTATTTCTTTTGCTGTGAAGGTTTTTAGTTTACTTATGTCCTTTTTATTTATTTTTGTTTTTGTTGCATTTACTTTTGGAGTCTTAGTCATAAAGTTTTGGCTTAGGTAAATGTCCAGATGTGTTTTTCTTAGTTTTTTTTCTAGAATTTTTATGATTTTGGGTTTTATATTTAAGTCTGATCCATCTTATAATTTTTGTGGATGGTGAGAAAGAGTGATCCAGTTTCATTCTTCTACATGTGGCTATCCTGTTTTCCCTGCATCATTTATTGAATAGGGTGTCCTTTCCTATTTATGTTTTTGAATGCTTTGTGGAAGATCAGTTCATTGTATACATTTGGCTTTATTTCTGGTTTCTCTATTCCTTTCCTTTGGTTTATTTATCTACCTTTATACCAGTACCATGCATGCTGTTTTGATTACTAAAACCTTGTATTATAACTTGAAGTCTCTTAACACTATGCCTCCAGATTTGTTCTTTTTGCTTAGAGTTGCTTTTTTAATTCAAGCTCATTTCTGGTTTCATAAGAATTTAGAATTGCTTTCTCTAATTCTATGAAAAATGATGTCAGTATTTTGATAGGAATTGCATTGAATCTGTAGATTGCTTTTAGCAGTAAGATCATTTTCACAAATATGATTCTTTCTATCCATGAGCATGGGATGTATTTCCATTTGTTTATATCATCTCTAATTTATTTCAGCAGTTTTTGTAGCTCTCCTTATGGAGATCTTTCACTTATTTGGTTAAGTGTATTTCAATTTTTTTTCTGCTGTGATTGTAAAAGAAATTGAGTTCTTGATTTGATTCTCAGCCTGATCATTGTTGGTGCTATGCAGTAGTACTAATTCGTGTACATTCATTTTGTAACCTAAGATTTTATGAATTCATTCATCAAATGGAAGAGTCTTTTGGTGGAATTCTTAGGCTTAACTAAGTATATGCTTACATCATCAGCAAACAGAGATAATTTGACTTCCTCTTTTCCAGTTTGGATGCCCTTTATTTCTTCCTCTTGCTTGATTGCTCTGGGTAGGACTTCCAGTACTATGTTAAGTAGAAGTGGTGAAAATGGGCATCCTTAACTTGTTCTAGCCCTCAGTGGGAATACTTTCAACTTTTCCCCATTCAATATGATGTTGGCCATGGGTTTGTCATATATAGCTTTTATTATTTTGAGATATGTTTATTCTATGTCTAGTTTGTTTAGGGTTTTTATCATAAAGCAAAGCTGGATTTTACTGAATGATTTTATGCATCTATTGAGATGATCATATGTATTTGGTTTTTAATTCTGTTTATGAAATACATCACATTTATTACGTTGTGTATGTTGAGTCATCCTTGCATCCCTGGGATGAGACTCACTTGATTATAGTGAATTGTCTTTTTGATATGCTTTTGGATTTGATTTGCCAGTATCTGTTAAGAATTTTTGCATATGTCTTTATCAGAGATATTCATTTGTAGTTTTCTTTTTTTATGATATGCCTTTTTCTGGTTTTGGTATCAGGGTGATACTGGCTTCATAGAATGAGTTAAGGAGGATTCCCTTTTTCTCAATCTTTTAGAGTAGTTTCAGTAGGCTTGGTGCCAGTTCTTCTTTGAATGTCTGATAGAATTTGGCTGTGATCTGTCTGGGTTTTTTAGTTGGCAATTTTTTTTTCTTACTTATACAGTCTCACTGCTTGTTATTGGTCTGTAAGGATGCCTATTTCTTCCTGGTTTAAGCTTGTAGGGTTGTATGTTTCCCGGAATCTGTCTGTTTTCTTTACTTTTATTTTTATGTGCATAGAGGTTACATAGTAGTCTCAAATGATCTTTTATATTTCTGTGATATTGGTTAAAATGTTTCCATTTTCACTTCTAATTGAGCTAATTTAAACTTCTATCTTCTTAATTGTTCTAACTAATGTTCTAACTAATTGTTAGAACAATTGTTAATTGTTCTAACAATCTTAATTGTTCTAACAATCTTAATTGTTCTAACTAATGATCTATTTTATTTCTATTTTCAAATAACCAACTTTTTGTTTCATTAAACTTTGTATTTTTATTTCAATTTCATTTAGTTCTGCTTTAATCTTTCTTTTCTTCTCCTGGCTTCAAGTTTGATTTGTTGTTTCTATAGTTTCTTGAGGTATGACATTATGTTGTCAATTTGTAATCTTTCAGACTTTTTTATGTAGGTGTTCAGTGCTAGAAACTTTCCTTTTAGCATTGTTTTTGCTATGTCCCAGAGGTTTTGATAACTTGTGTCACTGTAATCATCCATTTAAAGAATTTTTTAATTTCTTTCTTCATTTCATTGCTAACCCAATAATCATTAAGAAGCAGATTGTTCAATTTCCAGGTAATTATATAGTTTTAAGGGTTCCTTTTGGAGCTCATTTCTAGTTTTATTTCACTGTGACCTGAGAAGATACTTTATATAATTTTGACTTTTTAAAATTTATTGAGATTTGTTTTTGTGGCCTATCCTATGGTGTATCTTGGAGGCTGTTCTATGTGTTGATGAGAAGAATGTGAATTCTGCAGTTTTTGGGTACAATGTTCTGTAAACATCTGTTAGGTCCATTTCTTCTGGACTGCAACTTAAGTCCAGTGTTTTTTTGTTGTTATTGTTGACTTCCTGCTTCAGTGATCTGTCTAGTGCTGTCAGTGGAGTGTTAAAGTTCCTCACTATTATTGTGTTGCTGTCTATTCCTTTTCTTAGGTGTAGTAGTAATTGTTTTATAAATGTAGGAGCTCCAGTGTTATGTGCATACTTATGTAGAATTATTATATTTTGTTGAATTAATTATTTAATTATTATGTAATGACTTTCTTTGTTTTTTTTTTTTTTTACTATTGTTGCTTTAAAGTCTACTTTATCTGATGTAACTACACCTGCTTGCTCTTGGTTTCCATTTGCATTGAATATCTTTCTCCACCCCCTTACCTTGAGTCTATGAGAATCTTTGAATGTTAGGTGAGTTTCTTGAAGACAGCAGATATTTGGTTTGTGATTTTTTTTAAATCAACTCTGCCATTCTGTGTCTTTTAAGTGGTGTATATAGACCATTTACAGTCAATTTCAATTATGAGACGTGAAGTGGCATTCCAGTCAGTATGTTGTTACCTAGAAATTTTAGGGTTTTTTTTTTCACTTTGTTATTGCTTTATAGACCCTATAAGTTTTATACTTTCAAGACGTCTATTCTGATGCAGCTCAACCTTTTGTTTCAAGATTTAGCATTTCTTGTAGGACTGGTCTGATAGGGACAGATTCCCTCAGCATTTGCTTGTCTGAGGAAGACATTATTTCTCTTTCATTTATGAGACTCAGTTTTGCTGGATACAAAATTTTTGACTAATAGTTATTTTGTCTAAGGATATTAAAGATAAGCCTAAAGATAGAGTGAACTTCTGGCCTGTAAGATTTCTGCTGAGAAGTCTGCTGTTAGTCTAATAGGTTTTCCTTTATAGGTTACTTGATGCTTTTGTCTCACTGTCCTTAGAATTCATTTCTTCATGTTGACTTTAGATAGCCTGATTACTATATGGCTTTGTAATGTCAGTTTTGCAGTGAACCTCCCCAGAGCTCATTGAGTTTCTTGTATTTGGACATCTAAATATCTAGCAAGGCTAGCAAAGTTTTCTTCAATTATGCCCTCAAATAAGTATTCAAAAGGCTTTGCTGTTTCTTCTCTCTCAGGAACAGCAATTGCTATATTTGGCCATTTTACATAATCACCTATTTCTAAGAGACTTTGCTTATTTCTTTGAATTCTTTTTCTGGCATTTCAAAGATTTCATCTTGGTTGGGATCCATTGCTGGGGACTTACTGTGTTCTTTTTGAGGTGTTATAGAACCCTATTTTGTCCTACTGCCAGAATTATTTTTCTGGTTTCTTCTCATTTGGGTAGAGTATATCTCCTAATTACTTTTGAGACTATATCTTCTAATTATTTTTGAATTTATTTTTTTATTTGAGTGTGATTTTTCACTTTTTTTTTCACCTTGAGGATGTGACTTTAATGTTTATAGTTTATTGTAACCTAATTCAGCTCTGGGTGCTTTCAGGGGTGAAGACTGTATAAGTTCCCTGGTTATTTAAAATCTTTGTGTTTTGGCTTTCTCAGATGCTAGTTGTGGTAACATTATGCTCAGCGTGTGTGTGGAGGTTCACTGTTTCCTGTGGGGTAGCAATGGCAGAGGTCTTATGAAGCTTATCTAGTTCCCAAGTGGTGTACACTTTTTTGCCTTTTTATTTCTCCCAGTGTTTTCTTTACCTGGTTGAATAATTCAGATTTCAGGCCAGTAGGGTAGGTGTCCCTGAATGAAAACCAGCAGATTGGTAAATGCAATACCCAATGGTGGGAAGAAGTCCAAGCCTTGACTGAGGCATCTGTGGGAGCTCTTAGTGAAATGCACTGAGGTCTTTTCACGGGGAAGGGAGGGAGCCACTTCAGCTCCCTTGCCAGGCCCCCAGGAAAGCAGGTCACACCCCTAAATACAGTTCTAGCTATTCAGATTAGCAGGCCCTTTTTATTTGCAGGAATTCTGACGTTCCAAGTAGAGAGAGATTGTGATTCTATGCCTTACGCAAATCTGAATCTGGAGGGGACTCCTCCTCTGGGGACGCAGTTAACTTGAAGTGTTCCAGAAAGGCTATCTACAGGTCCACTCATGCTAAATTCCCATAAGAGAAACACCAGCTGTGTCTGCAGTGGTGAATGAGGGGGGAAAGTCTTTTTCTTCAAGACCCTTCTGCAGATTTTCCCAAGTCCAGCACTGTACCTGTGCCTCTACTGAAAGAAACTTTCCACAGGTGGGAAGTTCTGGACTCAAGTCCTGCCATCTAGATTCTTTTTTCCATGGGGTGTGCCACTGATGTGCACTCACCCTTATCCTAAGTGTAGGAGTCCCTGAGGGCCAGACTAGTATGAATGCTGCTACTTATCTGTCTCTAGCCACCTAGTGGGACTGCCACACTCCAGGTTGGTGCTGGGGAATGTCTGCAAGGGACCCAGTGATGTGATCTGTTCTCAAGACTCAGTAGTGAGTAGCAACAACAGCTCTCATGGGGCTGACAGGAGAATGACATAGACTTTGTGAGATTTCTTGATTATAAGTAGTCTTGGTGCATTGGTTTTTCTGTAATGCCACCTGTAGTAGTAATGAACTGGTCACATGGACAGACTCAGGACCTCCTAGTTAGCCAAGGTTATATAGGCAAAGGTGATAGCTTAGGTCACACACAAGTTTTCTCTTTCCTGTGCACTGTTATCGTGCCTGCAGATGCTGAAATGGATTGTGTCAGTAGGCCTCCAGCCACAAGGTGGCACTTGAAAAAGAGCACCAGCTGGTAGCAGTGGGATTTGTGCTTGCCTTATGTTACCCAGGGGAGGTAATCTGATGACTCAGGCAATGGGCAGGGCCATTGAGCTCTCAAAATTTTCTATTCTTTGTGTTAAGCTACCAGGGCAGATGGAGGGGCAAAGCCAGTTGGGGGCTGGATCAGGCAAGTTCACATTCTGGCTCTCTTTTTCTGCCATGTGTGGGCAAAAGCAGTGTCCCCAGTGGGGATCAGATAGTGGTCCTCTGGCTGTAGCAGTAATGTTGCAGGGAGTACCATAGCTGCCTCTGCTGCAGAGAAGCATCTGTATGAGGAATAGGGAGCAGCAGGCAGCAGTTAGCCCCGCTCAGCTCCCACACACTTGGCAAAGCAGGTCTTGCACCTGCAACGTCCCACTCGCAGCAGCTTGGTTCCAAGCAGTCAACACTCAGAACTCAACACTGCCCAAGGCCATAAGACTTCCCAGAAGAGACTGCAACCATGGCTTCCAGGTCACGCCTCTCCTAGTCGGCCCATGAAGCAGGGGCACCCAGTTCTTGCACCTATGGCTGCAGCACATTTCCCATCTGCCCCATGGTTGTGGCCAAGGGGGTTCGTCTCCACTCGAGATTATATCACGAATCTCAGTTGAGAGCTTCTCGCAACCTGTGACCACTGCCTGAGTTACCTGGCTGACTTCTGTGAGGTCCCCTGTGAGGTAGGATCAGGGATGGATTTCCTCTGTCCTGCTGGGCATGCACACTAAGCCCATCCCCATGCTGCTACTTCTCATATATGCCCCACTCCTCACTAAATCAGCTCCAGCACTGGGTGGGATTAAGGCCTTTCCCTGTGGCCTGGATTGCTTGGTTCCCCAGTAGGAGTATATGTCCTAGAGGCAGTTTATCCCTATCTGACATTCTAGGGACTTATAGTTTTCCTCCTGGCTCATGATGTAGACAGCAACCTGACACTTCTTTCAAAGAGTCTGTGCTTTCTTTCGGTTTTCCTGTTAATTTTCTGTGTTGCTTCTTGGAAAAAATTTACAGTGTCAATCTCTACACACAATTCTGTCTTTCCAAATAGGAGATGCATGCTAACCATGACTCTAATCTGCCATTTTGAGAAAAAAAAATACTGGAGGTCTTTATTTTTTTTTTAATACTATAGCCCATTCTGAGTTTTCATTACAACCTCCACTCTAATATTGTATCTACTTTTCACAAACCCTTATCTTTGGTAGCTGGATTTAATTCATTAATTTTAAAATTTTGATAAAAATTATGACATAATTATATTATTATGTATTTTCATTTGATTATCTAGGCTTATGAAACTGACTAAACTAATAATTATTTGATAATATGATTATATTCTGCCAATTCACTCTATGTGTTCCTTGGATATGTTAATAAACAATAGAAACAAGTCCAACTAAAAGACATCACTTATTCTGACTCTTGTTTTGAAAAATAAAACCTGACAAATCAAATAAAAGTAAATGAATTATTACTCAGACATCCACTTATGGTTTGGGTATATATTTTGACAGTCCATGAGAAAAATTCCTCCAAGGGTCTTCACTTCCAGACATAAAATCACTTTGTTGTTTTTCTAAAAGCTATTTTTAAAAACATCAACATCTTTTTAAATTCTCCCATCTATAAGCTGGCAAAAATATCTCTTGAGGTTTGTAAGCAACATTTTAAATAATAAATGTAATATTTAGGGACAATTTAATTTAGTGATTCAAGGCATCTAATATTTGGTATCAGTATATGAATATTAACAAACATTTAGCCGTTTTATTTATAGTATTTTTTATATCAAAACAATTTCTACTTTCTATTATGCTTCTTGTTCTGTGATAGTTTACTATTTCTGAAACTTTATTTTTTACAAAATTTCAAGTTGAGTCTAAAAAAATTATATTTTGTTGTTTTGAAAAATATATAGCCTAAAACTGTACATGCTAACAGTTGAGTTTTATCAGTGTTATTTTTACTAAACCTAATCACTATAAAATAGCTATATCTTGTGTATGTTAAAAATGTGAAATAAGATGAGAATGTATTTGCTATTCTATTAATTAAATTATGTGAATTAGTAGCAACTATTAAGATGCTTTGAATATTCCCTTAGGTGGACGAGAACATGTGAGCAAGTACTAGCACAGTGGTAGATGCTTTGTAAATTGCTCTTACTTTCCTAATGATTGACAGGCTAATGGCTAAATAACTAAGATAATATAAGCACTTTCTTAGAATTTAGAGATCCACTTAAAAGACAGGTTTTCATTAGGAATTTCTGTACTTTATTTCACATTTCCATAAAAAAATTCCTCATTGCAAGAACCACTGCACCTATTAAATGAAAAAACTCAAGAGAAAACAATCAGGTGACCATTACCTCTAAAACATCTGATTTGATTTAGTTATCCTATAGGAATCAAGTATCAGGCTTTACAAGATCCTCTTTTTTCAATGTTGTTTTACTGCCTAAAACAATGTTTAAGATGACTAATTCACGTTTCTTTTTGTGATTTATTTTTACTTGATCTAATTTCTAAAGTGATCTTTATAAGGTGTCTTGCCTAAAAATTTGCCTATACTTACAAATGCATTTTCACTTACTACAATCTCATTTTTTACTGTACTGTAGATGTACAGTTAGTTGAATGCATACATTATAATTTTGAGAATATATGAGGTTTTACATAAGAAGAATCATATTGAAGTGGTTATCTAGCATATCTAAAGAGGAAACAACAGAGAAGCAAGCTGGAAACAATATGTAGACATCAGTAATTATTTTAATTTCACAAGACAAACATTTATCAATCTTGTATTCAAAACCTACATATATGCTACTTAGGACGCAGAAATAGCTATGTATATTCATTGCCACCAAGGCATTTATGATCAAATTGAAGGGCAAATACAAACACAATGAAGTTTCTTTGTGTAGCAGTTACACAAATAAAACTTCATAAGCTTGCCAAGAAAAGCAAGAACGAAGAAAGGAAAGAAAGAAGGAAAAAAACAAATAGCAAAACAGAGCAATATTTAAATGTGGTTATGATTCAGCCAACCATTACATTTAATTATAACGTGCCTGTTTGGGAAAGAAAATAGAAGAATTAACTGAATGCCAAGGGGAGGGGGGAGGAACAAAAGAAAAAATCAAAACAAAATAAAACTGTGAATGATAATTAATGGGAACAGAAAAATTATGTACAAAAAACATTTTATTTGGAGAGTAATTTAGGAGATCTTTAGGAATATATTGGCTATATTCAAGTTCCTATACTTAAGTGCTATACAATAATAATTAAAGGTACCAGATTTAGTAAAGGGATTTTGCACCATGAATTTTTTTTTCCTGTAAAGATACAAATATATCTCCTTAGTAGAAGAGATAACCTCACAGATTTATGACCCTGTTATATATCAATCTATATTTATTTATTTAACCAAGCAATCTTAACGTTATTTTGCTAAATTGCTTCTAAATGTCCCAGTTTCTCAGATTCCCTTTGTGTCATTTAAAACATCTATTTGTTATTTATTAATTCAAATTAATATCTTTAAAACCTATTCATTTTATATTTGTCTGAGAGCTATGATTTTAAGCTTCTAAAAATTATATTTTAATAGAAATCAGGGACTAGTTACCTTTAATCCGGGGGAGATACTACGTATTTTAAAGCCCGAAGTCAATGTCTAGACAAAAGTTTCTGCTTAACATCAAAGGGTATGCAACATTTGCTATGGCTCTCAAATACTAAGAAAGGAAAACACAACTGGGAATTTGTCACTAGCACTTTATTCTTTACTCAGGATTGAAGTAGAATTTTATAATGCCAATATTTTTCAGAAACTTTAAACATTAGAAATAAAATAAAAACTAGCCCAATTCCAATATTTCCCACGGATTTCCTAGCAGAAGAAATGAGAAACTCTTATGGAGAAATAATCCAATATTGCAAACACAAGGATTTGCCACTACAGAAACTAACAAGTTAAATCGAAAACTATATTAAAAATAAATTCACAAACAAAAATTACAAAGTACACAATGAAAAATAATATACATGCCAGGCGCGGTGGCTCACACCCGTAATCCCAACAATTTCGGAGGCTGAGGCGGGTGGATCACCTGAGTTCAGGAGTTCGAGACCAGCCAGGCCAACATGGCAAAACTCCGTCTCTACTAAAAATACAAAAAATTACCCAGGCATGGTGGCAGGCACCTATAATCCCAGATATTTGGAGGCTGAAACAGCAGAATTGCTTGAACCTGGGAGGTGGAAGTTGCAGTGAGCTGATATTGCACCATTGCAACCCAGCTTGGGCAACAGAGTGAGACTCTGTCTCAAAAAAAGAAAAAATACCAGCAATAAGAGTCAGCAGATGTAAAACAGCAGAATTAAAAGTATGTGTAAAAATAGATGAATAATTTGAAAAAATTATAAAATTAATAATATGTAATGAACATATATAAACACTAAAGACATTTAAAAAGAAATGAAGGGCAGATTTGGCAAAGGATATCCAAAAATAAAAATAAAGTAATTGAATTTAAAAACCTATGAGATATGGATGATTAAAATTAATACAATAAATATATATCACAGAGAAATAAAGTTATCAATATAGAGCAAGATGGACAAAAAATATTATTATATTAGATAATTTGGGTGCATTTAAGGTAATATTGAGGCAATATCTAGAGGTAATAACTGGAAATTTTCTATAAGTCATTAAAGAAAAAAATTTTCACATTCAGGAATTGGACAATTTCTGAACAGAATTGATAAAAATAAATCCAAACTAGAAAGAACACTGATTTGGTGAATATTTTAAAAAGAAATTTGTTCACTGAAAAACTAATACAATAATGCAATGGGCATACCAAGTTCCAAATCCAAAATATACAGTGCAAGATAGAATACTATACACAGCACTGAGACTTTTTGGGTCTACAAAATTTTAAGAAAGCACACTCATGGATTCATTGAACAACTGTTTTTAAAGTAACAAAGAAAGAAAAAAGAAAACACTAAAAAAGACAAGTGTGAGAAGCAAGTGGCAACTGTAAACCTGTTAAATGTAAGGGTAAATCTAAATAAGCATTAATTATTTAAAAATGTGAGGCCAGGAGTCCAGTCCAACCTGGGTAACAAAGTGAGGCATGAGTTACAATTAAAATACTAGAAAAGTATTGACCATTTCAATTAAATGTTCCTTTCAAATCGCTAATTATTTTCATGTTCCAAAATATAAAGGTTAATTTTTTATTCTCATTTTATTGATCTATCAGTAGTCTCTTTTTCTTTAATTAAAAAACAAACAAACAAAAACACATAAACAAACAAACAAACAAAACCAGCTTTTTTTCTTTGGCTTCCAGAACACATGTCCTCTTGGCTTTCTTCTTATGTCTTTGTATGCTATTTCTTAGTCTTTGGAACACTTCTGTGTCCACCCCCACTCCCTTGATGAGTTCTCACAGAGCCATGGTTTACAATATTGTTTATGCTAAGAACTTGCAAATTTGTACCTCTGCCTCTTACTTCTCTTCTAAATGCCAGGCTCTTACATCCAACTTCTTATACTGTCTTCTTTTGAGAAGCTAATAAACATCTCAACTTTGAAATGCACATTCTCACATACGACAATTTGTCTCAGAGCAAAAATCTTAGAGTCAATCCTACTTATTTTCTTTTTCAAGAATTGTACATCTAACCTTTCAGCGAGTCTTGCTGCTTGCTTTACCTTCAGAATCTATCCAAAGTTAGTCACTCTCTTAGTCTCTCCCAGAAACAGATCCCAGTAAAAACATTCAATCAGAAGTAATTTGGGATGTAGAGAAAAACTGTATTCTTTTTCTTCCCTCAGCCTTTTGATGTGTTTATTTCAATGCTATTTTTACAATGTTACTTACTGAATACATTAATTAAAATTGTAATCTGCCGCTATTACTGTGTATCCTTCCTTACTTTATTTTCTTCACAAAATATATAACTTTTCAACACCTGTCTATATTTTATTTCTTTTGTGTCATCCTATATCTGACTGTAATCTTTACGGAGGCAAGGATTTTTTTCTTTAATATCCTAAATGTAGATGTTTGTCTCTAGTAGATTCAATGGTGCCTCCCAAAATATGATAAATATGCACATATCTTTCCATATGCTAGCCCACAGAAATTGTAGAGGTGACCTAATTTTTTTGTATATATTAATAAGGATCTTGAGATGACATCATACTGGATGATCCTAGTGCACCCTAAATCCAATAAGTGTTCTTATGAAAGACAGAAGAGGAGAAGATACAGAAAAGAGAAGACGGCTATTTGAGGATGAAAGCAGAGCTTGGAGTTATGCAGCTACAAACAAAAGAACGCCTTGAGCCACCAGCAGCTGAAAGAAGTAAAGTAGGATCCACCCATAAAAACTTGAGAAGGAAAGTGGGCCTACCTATACCTTGATTTCAGATTTCTGCCCTACAGAACTCTAAGAGAATATATTTCTGTTGCTTTAAACGTTTACGTTTGTGGTAATTTGTTATAACAGATCCAGCAAACTCATATACTGGCACTGAGCAGATATTCAATAAGAATTGATTATGAATTATAGTCATTATGTTAGTGTGGCATTGACTCAGAGATGAACAATTTGTTCACTGGACTATAGCAGGAAATTCAAAAATTCATGGAAGACTTTCGATATTTTACATATGAATTGTCATATCACCCAGAAAAATGAATAACTATTCATAAAATAGCAGTGACACATTTGATTAACATATAGAAAAATTGTAAATTGTATTCTAACATCACATTAACTTCAAATGTGAAAGACATCTTGTATCACTTTTAAAGAAAATATAAAATATATTTTATTTAGTAAAATTGAATTTGTAGAATGATGACTTTTTTTTTTACTTTACTGCTTAATACTTGAGAAATTTTCCTCTTTGATGAGGCTATTAGAAAACAGGAACTCTAACAATTGTATAGTGGGAAGATAAATTCATACAACGACTTTGGAAAACTGCTTGACAATGTAAGGATGAAAGTGCCCAAAATTGTAAAATTTCCCTGCTCTATGTCTATCCTATGAAAATTCTAATATATATAAACAACAAAACCATAAATATTTATTGTAGCTTTGTTTTTAACATTTACAATGGTAAATATAAAAATGCCAGTATTTCCTGATATGAAAATTGATAGCTTTATATTATATATATAATGAAATCCCATATAGAAATTAAACAAAAACAGATACCCAAGTATCAGCTGGAATGGATCTCAAAAATATCATAGTGAGATTATAAAGCATGTGTTGAAATAATACAGAGAAAACAATAACATCTTATTTAAATTTGAAGATACAAACACTACCATATGCTGTATAAAATATTCTATACACAGACCTGTACTTAAAAATAGAGAAATATACAAGGGGATGCTAAACAATTTTAGCCTGTAGTTATCCCTTGTAGAATTTCTTATAATCTTGTTTCTGGTTATGTTGCTGTATCAATTATTTTTCAGTTTTGGGCATGTGTGAAATATTTCATAAAAGGAAGTTGGACGTTTTAATAATACATTGACTTTAAGAGGAGGAAGAATAGGTGATGGGGGTATTTTGTTATATACCAACACATGACTGAAATAATCATCTATTCTAATTCTGTTCAGTTCAGTGGAAAGTCTGAAGGTTTTTTAAGAGTTGCAGTTTGTCATATCTTTGAGAACATTGTGTTAGATTAAGTGGAACAGGAATGCTTAGAGGGAAGGAGATTAAAATAATGTGTTGTATGGATATTTGAGGTGACATACAACAGAACTGGAAAATAAAGAAACTTCATGAAAAATAATATAAAAAGAAACATCAATGACTTACCAATTGACTCTGCTGTGTTTGACAGATGGGAATTGTAGTCGTAACATTGGATGAAATAGGAAAGACAGAGTAGTAGAGCTCTTTGGAGGCAAGTTCTTTTTACATTTTGAGTTGAAGTTTTCACTTTTAAATGAAATGCATATGGATAAAAATAAAGGTAAATATAGTTATTATGAAATTGTCAACATAAAATGAGAGTTGATGCATAAAAATGAATAGACTGGAAAATGGGAACTTTTTAAATATAAAAAAAATTGCCTCTTTTCTGATAGTATTCTTTCTTCTTAAACTTCATGATTGTTCCTGGAAATTAAAGTGAAAAAAACTATCATAAAACTATGACTCTATCATACCGTAACATTTCAGGGCCCGCATTATTATACCTCCTCTCTCCATCTTGCATGACTGTTTAAAATGGTTCTGTTTGATACACTGACATTCAATTTCTTTTTATGTAGAATGTAATTTGGGAGATTCTCTAAACAATCTGTATAATGGCAGACATGGAATACAACTGAAATTAGAAATATTCTGTTGTAGTTTCCATTCTTTCTTAAAGGTTTTAGCATTTTGTTATGAACATGACAAGCCTTATTTTTTTTTCCACACATAGAAGGAACACGAATTATAAATAAAACAAAACACTGTGAAATACTGCAAATGTAGAATAATTTTTGATCTCATGCACACACCTCGGTAATTTAAATTAAATTCTATAAGTAAATGACTAAATATTTTAAAATTAACTACTTTAAATTAAGATGTATTTAGAAATACTTTTAATGTTATTGAAATTTTTTAAAAAATCTATTGTAATATAAGAAATCATGGTATAATGGAAATACTACATATTTTCAGAAAATTTGGTAATGAATATCATCTCCCAAAAAACCATCTTAGTCGTTGCATAAAATTCTACAAATGATATCTGATTTTAATTTAGAGGAAAGTACATGAACTGAAAGTCCCGACTGAATAAATGCTTAAAAAAGGATGATTAAAAAAAATTTAAAGGTAACATTTATTAATTAAAATAATTCTGATAGAAAATCCTAACAATGTTCATTATTGTCTAGATTTATAATTCTGTAAATTAAATATACATCCCCCTGCAAGTGGCAATACTTCAAAAATTAATTCTAGTTTACAATTTAGTATAAAATAATGTATTAGAAGTGTCCCTGAAAGATGGAGTTTAATGGAGAAAATTGATGAAGATTATGAGTATCAGGACATGGAGAAGAGTAAAAAGTCAATATTGTGGGACAAATTAAATGACATAAAAAATCACCTTTTTTCATTTGATATAATGTAATGGTTATAAAATATCTCCTCAGAGTTCTTCAACTGTCATTTCATCGAGATGTGGGGACTGGGGTCTCTGACCTTGAATCTGGGAGGACTTTTAACTTCTTTGACTAAGAGAATACCAAAAAAAGCAATGCTGTGTAACTTTTGAGACGTGGCCTAGATTGACAATCTGACTTCTGCTCACTGTTTTTCAGAATCCTCCATCTCAGGAAGGCCCCAGTATTGCCAGGCTGGGAGAAACCCAAGCCATGAGGATAGACCATGAATAGGAGTTCTGGTTGACAATCCCAGTTCACTCCCAGCTTCAAATACACAAGGCCAAGTGCCAGATACGGGCATAAAAAGCAATTTTGGAAGTGGACACTCCAGTCCCAGCTGTCCTAGCCCTCAGCTATTTGAGTTGCATCCAGACATGTAAATCTTCCCAGCTGAGGCCTCATCATTGAGGTGCAGAAAAGGGGCATGCCCATTGTGCCTGTTTCTAAATTCCTGACCCACAGAACCTGTGAGCATAATACAAGTTTACTATTTTATACCAGTAAGTTTGGGGTATAGTATTACGCAGCAATACAACTTGATGCACAAAAAATCTCTTCTTTGTTACATAAACTCTATATAAACTGGCATATGCTTAGTTCGTCAACCTCTCTCCAATCTCCTTCTCTTTCCCCAATCTCCTTCTCTTTCCCCATACTCAAACTAATCTGCTTTTTTTTCCTGCTCCTTCAACAAACCAGCACTTGTATTTACACAGTAGATAAATTGCACCATTAACTTAAAAAACACAGTTTCCAAGATTTTTACAAAACTGTCTTATAGTTTAAAGTATCTCAGCCTTTAAGTATCACTTGTTAGATAACATTTAGTTGCCAATCTTTTTATAATTGCTTTCTCTTACTCTACTCCTTAGCTTACAGTCCTTTCTGCTATATTTATCGTATTTGTATAACAGATCAAAATCTGTGGTTATCTATTTATTTACCTAATTTTCAGCTCTCTCCACTTATTATCATATAAGTTACAAACATTTCAAGTCATATCTTCAGTTCACCACATTATACCAGTAGCTAAAATATCATATTACCCATACTAGCCACTCAAAAATATTTATTATGGAATTAATGGAACTCTAAATTTAATCTGATCTCCAAACTAAATATATGGCATAAGTATCAATATAGGTTTCAGGTAGATAGGGTTTAGCTATAAGGAATACACGGTGCAATTAAAAGCAGTTTTCACAGGCAAGTTGTTTACTTACTTCTACAAAAGAAAGAGTACAAACCAGGACAGGATAAGAAGAGCAGCCACACAGGGACGCTGAAGATTTGTTATACACATGCAGGGACATTAATAGCATTTCCTTAGAAAGAGGTATGATATAAGATAGCATGATGCCTGTAGCACCCTGAGACATGATTGCTCATATTGCAGCCAAGAAAAATAGGAAAGACTGAAGCAGCAAAGGGCAAAGGGGCAAAAGACCAAAGCCATGCAGGCCAAGTTTGTGCGTTTTTAAACGCTTTCCTAGGAGCCTATCTTATGATATCCATTTCAATGTCACAAAATTCACATGGCCACACCAAGAAACATGGATATTTTACTTTCCAAATAAAAAACTAGGCAAGAGAAGTTCACATTTGCATAGCCTATCAATAGTGTCTGCCAAGATATTTCCATTTTTTAGTGTATCAGAAAATTGGGCACACATGACTAACGTACTTTTTTCATTTTAAATAGAAACGTGTGTGCATATATATATATAAAATATACATATTTATGTGTGTAAATATGTGTGCGTGTATATGTGTGTGTGTAAAACCAATCAACTTCTGCTGAAAAACTTCTGTAAAACTCATTTTTTTTTCTCTAGTATGTTTCCTCTGAAGGCAATCTTCACATCTAGGGAATATTAATGGTAATAATAACAGCATTGATTTATTGAGAGTTTTCCTATGTAACAATTACTATATAAGCTTATTTTCATTCAGTATGCCATTTAATCTATTTCTCCAGTTTCAATATTAATATTGGTACTTAATAAATGAGTAAACTGAAAATAATAAGTTTAAAATCTTTTTTCACAGCTAATCAGCAATACAACTGGGATTTGATATCAGATTCATGCGATTCCGAAGACCCTGACCACCAAATGCAAAAGGTACATGGCAATAGCTGATTGCAATGAGAGAAAAACAACTAATAAGGCAACAAGCAGGATACCAAGATATTTTCCAAAGTGAATAGCACTGATTCTATGAGGAATGAACATTGCCAAACAAGTGTTTTGTTTTGCTTTTCAACTCCTCTAAAAAAATTCACATATATGCATGCCACTTTCCTGAAAAATATCTGCCTCATAATTGCCATAAGAAACTGTATGGACAACTCTTAAACATTCTGAAAGTAGTCAGGGATGGGGGAAAGCATTTGCTATTTTAGTCTGTTCCTGGTCTTATAACAAATACCACAGACTGGGTAATTTATGATTACAGAGATGCATTTCTGAAAGTTCCAGGAGTTGGGAAGCTCAAGATTATGGCACCAACATATTCATTGTCTGATGAGGGCCTGTTTCATAGATGTCATTTTGCATGACTTAATCACAGGGTAGGAAAAGCAAAGGGACAAAATGGACAAATGCCATGTTGTCACATGGCAGAAGAAATGGAAGAGCCAGGAAGCTCTCAGAGAAGCTTCCTCTATTAGGATATTAATCTCATTCATGAGTGCACAGCCATCATAACTTAATTGCCTCCAGAGGCCCCACTTCCTCATCACTTAGAGGATTAAACTTAAACATGAATTTGGAGGAAATATATTCAAACTCTAGCACTAGTTTAAATGTAGCTAAAAAGGTTTCTTCATTCTGTAACTGTCAATATGCTAATATTTTTGTAAATATCCAAGAGGAAGCTAAAGCATATAATATTCCAAAATTTATTTCTGTTTGTGGATATTATGTTTTCCTCTCATTCTATCTCAAGAAATTAGTGTCCTCAAGAAACACTATATAGAATAATTGTCTTTCAAGTTCATCAACTACTGGTTCTTGATTCTTCAGTAGCTAATCCTGGGTAGTAATACTTAACAGATTATAAAAACTTGGGTGCTGCTATATAAATGTGCTGAAACTCCCAGGGAATCAAACATAAGGACTTAAAGAGAGATGTAACTAGGGATCATAATCATGAATTTCAGCTGCTTCTCTATCTTTGTCAGTGAGCAAATGACCATACAAAATAAGGTATTCAGTTATTAATTCTGTGCCCATATCCCGGAATTTTGCCCAATACATTTGTAAGTTTAGATAAATAAGGCACTAATGCCAGGGATATGTAGCATTAGTTCTGGGTTTATAAAGGGATATTCACAACCTCTTGCCATCCACAGAATTTATCAGCCCAAAGTAAACTATACTCGTTTGTTAAGGGCAACCTGAGACATGTTTAAAACTGAGGTAGACTGAAGAGTCAACTAATTGCAGGAATCTTTTGTTATTTGGTTGAAATGTTCAAACAAGTCCCACTCTGAATTCTATTAGAAATCCATCATTGGCTTATCTCTGTTTCTCACTGTCTTAAATCATGTATTTTATAACACTATGAAGAACGATGTTCAAAAGAATAAGCTAAATTTAATTAATTAAATTATTTATTTATTTATTTTGAGACAGAGTCTCACTCTGTCACCCAGGCCAGAGTTCAGTTGCACGATCTTGGCTCACTGCATCCTTCACCTCCTGGGCTCAAGAGATCCTCCTGAAGCAGGGCATTTCCCTGACCCCTTCATGGGACTCGTGACAGGGGTGCCCCATTTACTCAGCCCACTGCTCTCAACTCCTCGAGGGAGGGAATGCACAACTGAACAAGGCAGGAACTGGAGTACATGAGTGCTGGAACCAGTGGCCTCTTTGGTGCCAGAAGGAGTGAACTCACCCACTCTGACCTGCTGTGTTCCACACCTTGCAGGAGAGAGCATGCAGGTGAGCAGGTACAGGAGCCAGGAAGAGAGCTTTGGGGTGTTGGCAGGAGCAAACTCCATGTGGGCCCCATAGCAGCACCTGGGTTTGAGGGGGTGCCTGTGATTCCTGAAACCCCAGTGGGCATATTACAGTGCTCCTTTAGCTCTGCCATCTTCAGACAGCTGAAGTGTTAGCAGCTCAGCATGCCTTTTTGTATCCACACTCACTCCCAAGCTCTTGTTTGGCATCCAGGAAAAATCAGCTTACAGGAACGAATTGAAGGATGATAAATGCAGAGGATTTTATTGCCAAGGAAAGTGGCTCTCAGCAGGAAGGGCAGCTGGGAAGGAGATGTAGCAGGAAGGTTTCTGGCTGGACTCTTTTCCAAAGTTGCACTGTCAAGCTGTCTCTCTGAAATCAAGCTGCTTCTCTCCAACGTCCAACCGTAGTCTCTGATGCCCAGCTGCTGCTTCTCTTTTGATGTTCAGCTGCTTCTCTTTTTTGCTAGCTGAGTCTGGGGTTTTTATGGGCACAGGATGGGGGACAGGGGAGGTCATGAGTAACTTTGTAAAAGGCAACATTTGAGTGGGAAAACAGGAATGTATGTTCTCACTTTGGGCTGTGGTTCCAGGCTTGAGGGTGGAGCCCTTGCCAGGGACCTGCCCTCTTTTGCCCAGAATTTCCCCACCCCCCATCCCTGTCACTCCCACCTCAACATCCTGAGTAGCTGGGATTATAGGCGCACACCACCACATCTGATTAATATTTAAAATTTTTGTAGAGACAGGGTTTTGTCATGTTGCCCAGGCTGGTCTCAAACCCTGGGCTCCAGTGATTTGCCCACCTCAGCCTCCCAAAGTTCTGGGATTACAGGTGTGAGCCAGTGTGCCTGGCCCTAAATAATATTTATATGGGCATTTTGTAATTATTTTTTTTAATAATATAAATGTTTCTTTTTTAATATGAATTTTTCAGGAGTTTTAAAATTGACTGATTATTCATTAAAATTTAATGAAGGACAGGAATTGGCTATTTTTCTGAATGACAAAAATTAGGAAAGTTTTTAGAGAGATGATGAATTTATCCTAGAATATATGGAAAGAGTAAATCTTGTTATATAGAACAAGAAACTTTCCAATCTGAAGTATCTTAGAATAGTAAAATTTTTTTTTCTAGTTTCCTTATAATTGTTTCAAAGTAATACTTTAGACCAAAAATTGTATATCTCAGTAGGTGGCCTACATGATAATTAAAAAATTAAAAGCTAAGTTAATTAAATTTTTAATTATTTTAATTTTTATTAATTTTAATTATCTATCTTCATTGAAGAATTTTGTCCAAAAAATGTGGATAATATGTGTCATAAGGATTAATCAGCATAAAATAGTCCCCAAAGGAAATTAAAGGACTGATTAGATAGTACTAAAATAACAATTATACAAAGTAGAAAGTGGTGTTATAAGAGAGATATAGATAAAATATTGTAAGAAACTAAAGTAGGAAGATAATGTTTTCAGTTGTGGGAGATCAGGGAAGATTTTTTGGAAAAAGTAATGTTTAAGCTAGATCTTAGAGAGACATGACTTAATAGAAAAGTAGGCAAAAAATATGAATAACCCTTTCAGATTAGAGGCAATACAAATTATGATAAATATAAAAAAATTCTTACTTCACTAGTAATCAAGTAATTGAATTAAACAATTGGATACCATTTTTTCTTCAGCAGATTGGCAAAACATAAGATGTTAACAAGGGTTTTGAGGGTACAGGGAAGAGGGTAGGCTCAAACTATGCTGGTATAAATGTATAACCAAGATCTCCTTTGGAGTACAATTGTTATATAGTCTACATCCTGTAAAAACTAAACACATATGTCTGCCTTTCCACTTTTGGAAATATATGGTAGATAATCATGCGAGAATGTCAATTGCAGTATTGTGTTGTAATTTTAAAAAAAAACTCTAAATATTCATCAGTATATAACTACAAATAAAAATAGTTGGACTATCATGCAGACTACAATGCCTCTATTGTGGCATAATAGTTAATAATACAATCTCTGAGAGCAGAATATCTGGATTTGAATAATTTGCTCTCCCTGTAAATGACCTTGAGCAAAGTACTTACAATCTTTTTTCTCTTCTGTAAAGTGGAGATAATAGCATTGCCAATTTATTAGCTTGTCATGATGATTAAATGAGATAATCCATGTATCACACCAAGTACCCACTACGTAATAAGCAACTAATTAAATTTGACTAATATTAATAATTTCATTATTATTCATCTTAATATCATGGCATGACTTCTAAGGTATATTATTAAATAGAAAAAGAGAAGTTTTAAACTGAGCCATAGCTTAGAACTTGACTTAAAGCAGACTCACAAAGCAAATGCTCATATCTAGGACAGGTAAATCTACACGTGTTTATACACGCATTCACTGTATTTGGGAAAAATACACACCAAACTGGAAACACTGGTTGTCTCTGAAGAAGAGACAGGGCTTTGGCAATATTCAAATTAGGCTTTAACTGTTTCTGAAAGTCTCAGTTCTCTATAAGAAGAAGGTATTACTTATGTAATTTTTAAAAATTACATATAAAGTACTAAATGACTGAAGCTTCTTAGAATTGATGGGGGCAGGCATCACATGGGCAGCAAGGCATTCACATAATGGAGAATCATGGTCTCCTGTAGATGTCTAGGAGTGATAAAATTAACTACCTTTTAGGTGGTGTAGTTTCCTGGCTGAGCTGATAATTATTAAGTTAATGATTAGTAGGTTATTTCTCAACACAGAAGAGATTATTAGTGTTTCAAAGTTTTCACTGTAATTCATCTGTAAAACCATTCAACCTATCTCCAGTACACCTCAGTAATCTGGTGACAAGAGAGTATTCTTGCTCACTTTATTTACTCTTCAGTGATCTAATGCCAATAATGCCAGCCTATAGAAACAACAGCCGATTATAACAAAAAGCACATTAAAAAGTCAAATATAGCTGGGTAATAGACATAAAAATACCTTATTAACATTTTTATAACACTCTCAACTGAAATAAACAGACCACTCTCAATTTTAGCATCTGGTTCCAAACAATTCTTGTTTGGGTGATAACTTTTTAAAAACAAATGCTGGGCATCTTTCATCGACTTTTCATCAAGTAACAGCTGTTCCTTTAGAACAAAATGTATGCATGTTGGAAGTGTGACTGATGCTCACTTCTGTTTTGTTCTGTGTGAGAAAGCTTTATGTTGGGTGCAATTCAGAAAACAAATGGTTTCCAATCTTTTGAATAGATGCCATAGCACAGTTTAAATGCAGCTTCTTGTGATTTTTAGAATAATTTCAGCCACAATTTTTACATTCAATTTATAACTATACTAAGACATTCTCCTTCAGAACAAAGGCATTTCTGTTTTCATGTGCTCTTGGGCATCTTCGGGTCATTCATTATATCAATCATTTATCTTCGTAAAGTGTTTGGCTATGAACAATTACTTACTACACCAAAGCATGAAAGAAATAGATATAGCTCGTCTGCTCTTGAATGCATTTCTACAGATTCCCTTAGGATAATTCCTGTTTCAACTTAAGCTATTAAATTTTTTGCTGAATTCAAATCACCTCATCTGCTGAAACATGTGGAGACAAATAACCACAGACGTTTGCATGAAGGTTCAGGCGTATTTAAGGGCAGCTTAATTATAAGACACTATGAAATTCTCCTAATTAATTTGGAGCAAAATATTCTACATCAAATATTTTACAAAACTTAAAGAAATATTTACTTTTCACATGATTACGATTTTGATACTAGGTTAAAAATGACTTATATTGGCATTTTTTAAACAGTTTAAGACAAATAATGTTTTTGATACTGTTTATTATAACATATGAAAAGTCTTTATATTTATGCAAATATACTCTATTTTATCATCTGTTCATTTAATGTTGCATTTGCATGCACTCCTGAATTACTTGTTACTAAAACATACAGAACAGACAGAAAGTTAAAATTGGTTAATTTCTATCTAATCTGGATAAGATAAACACAATGAGTGAAATAAATCATTATGTCAAATAACCAAAAACCTCATGCATAGAAACTTCAACATTTCTGAATAACAAAAAGTATAACATTATGTAGGGCAAGATGCCACTTTTGTATCAACTAGAAATAAGCCCTGAATCTGAATGATGAAATTTTAATAGTAACTTTTGACTGCAGGGCACAGAGTTTACTCTCTTGGTCAGATGCTTTTGTGAATGACACAAACTGTGTGTCCAGATCACTTTTCCCTATAATCACTTCAAATTATTTGACTTTTTGATCTGTTTATTTTCTCTCTCTCTTTTTTGTCCACAACAGATATTCCAAATATCCACCGAGTTTTCAAATACTCCAGTCCGTATTTGGTCTTCCCATTCCTAGCAGAAGTACTTTGTCTTCTACTTCCCAGAATAATGTTAATTCTCTTATTTTAGACTTGCTTGCTTTAATTTGTATTTGTTCTTGGCTTTTTTTCTTTCCATCTCACAGGATAAGAGGGCATCTCTTCTTCCATATTCATAAATACGTTGCCAACAGGAATTTGTTGTTATTTACACTTTCTTCTCCTAGACATTTTAATTTTACTTACCTTCCTTGAGCACACGGCAAAGTCAAAACACAAGCAGAATCTTACTTATGAATAGAGGCAGATTTATTAAGCCAGGGGTAGGCAAACTATAGCCAATGAGCCAAAGCCAGGCTGCCATGGGTTTTTATAAATAAAATTTTATAGGAACTCAGCCACAGACATTCCTTTACATATTGCCTACAGCTGCTTAAGCACTACAAAGGCAAAGTTGCATATTTACAACACAAACAATATGGCCTGCAAGCCTAAAGTATCTACTATTGTGCCCTTTATAGAAAATGTTTATCAGCTTTTGTTCTGTTATCCTAAGTTATGAGGCTTACATTTCTGGCCACCTCATTTGCATTTGAGTTTCCAGTTTTGAGTTTGTAGTTTTGTATTCTTGCTTGACGAGCCCCAAACCCTGACCTCCAAATTGAATGTGCTGTAGATCCCACAAAATATGGATCCAATCAAGCTGATGCCATGTCATTATCTGTAGCTTTTATTCTTTGCCATCACACACCTTCCTTGAACAGTTAGGCTTCTCCAAAAAATCTTAAATAATCACTGATATGGGTTGGTTCTGTGTCTTCACCCAAATCTCATTTTGTAGCTCCCATAATTTCCACGTGTTGTGGGAGGGACCCAGTGGGAGATGACTGAATCATGAGGGCAGGTCTGTCCCATGCTGTTGCCGTGATAGTGAATGGGTCTCACGAGATCTGACGGTGTTAAAAATGGGAGTTTCTCTGAACAATGTCTTTTTTTGCCTGCTGCCGTCTATGTAAGATGTAGCTTGCTCTTTCTTGCCTTCCACCATGATTATGATGCCTCTCCAGCCATGTGGAACTGTAAGTCCAACAAACCACTTTCTTTTGTAAATTGCCCAGTTGCAGGTATGTTTTTATCAGCAGCATGAAAATGAACTAATACAGTAAATTGTTACAGTAGAGTGGGGTGCTGGTGAAAACATATCCAAAAATGTGGAAGCGACGTTGGAACTGGGTAACAGGCAGAGGTTGGAACAGTTTGGAGGACTCAGAAGAAGACAGGAAAATGTGGCCAAGTTTGGAACTTCCTAGAGACTTGCTGAATGGCTTTGAACAAAATGCTGACAGTGATATGGACGATGAAATCCAGGCTAGGTGGTCTCAGCTGGTGATAAGGAACTTGTTGGGAACCGGAGTAAAGGTGAGTCTTGCAAACACACTGGTGGCATTTTGCCCGGCCCTATAGATTTGTAGAACTTTGAACTTGAGAGACATGATTTAGGGTATCTGGCAGAAGAAATTTCTAAGCAGGAAAGCACTTACGATGTGACTTCGGTGCTGTTGAAAGCATTCAGTTTTATAAGGCAAGCAGAGCATAAAAATTTGGAAAATTTGCAGCCTGACAATGCAATAGAAAAGAAAATCCCATTTTCTGAGGAGAAATCCAAGCCAGCTACAGACATTTGCATAAGATAATGGGGAAAATGTCTCCAGGACATGTCAAAGGTCTTTACCTCAGCCTCTCCCATCACAGGCACAGAGACCTAGGAGGAAGAAGCGGTTTTGTGGGCTGGGCCCAGGGTTCCTTTGCTGTGTGCAGCCTAGGGACTTCATCCCCTGCATCACAGCAACTCTAGCTATGGCTGAAAGGGGACAACATAGAGCTCAGGCTATGGCTTCAGAGGGTGCAAGCCCCAAGCCTTGGCATCTTCCATGTGGTGTTGAGCCTATGAGTGCACAGAAGTCAAGAATTGAGGTTTGGGAACCTCTGCCTAGATTTCAGAAGATGTATGGAAACGCCTGAATGCCGAGGCAGGAGTTTGCCATATGGGTGGGGTCCTCATAGAGAACCTCTGCTAGGGCAGTGCAGAAGGATAATGTGGGGAGGGAGCCCACACACAGAATCCCTACTGGGGCACCACCTAGTGGGGCTGTGAGAAGAGGGCCACCGTCTTCCAGACCCCAGAAGTGTAGATCCACTGACAGCTTGCACTGTGTGCATGGAAAAGCTGCAGACACTTAACACCAGCCCGTGAAGGCAGCCAGGAGGGAGACTGTACCCTGCAGAGCCAGAGGGGTGGAACTGCCCAAGACCATGGGTATCCACCTCCTGCATCAGCATGACCTAGATGTGAGACATGGAGTCAAAGGAGCTTTAGATTTGACTGCCCTTCTGGATTTCAGACTTGCATGGGGCTTGTAGCCTCTTTGTTTTGGCCAATTTCTCCCATTTGCAATGGCTGTGTTTACCCAATCCCTTTACCCCTGTAACCGCATTGTATCTAGGAAGTAACTAACTTGATTTTGATTTTACAGGCTCATAGGTGGAAGGGACTTGCCTTGTCTCAGATGAAACTTTGGACTGTGGACTTTTGAGTTAATGCTAAAAAGAGTTGACACTTTGGGGGACTGTTGGGAAGGCATGACTGGTTTTGAAACATGAAGATATGAGATTCGGGAGGGGCTGGAGTGAAATGATATGGTTTGGCTCTGTGTCCCCATCCAAATCTCATCTTGTAGCTCCCATAATTTCTATATGTAGTGGGAGGGACCTGATTGGAGAAGACTGAATCATGGGGGCAGGTCTTTCCCATGCTGTTCTCATAATAGTGAATGGGTCTCACAAGATCTAATGGTGTTAAAAACAGGATTGTCTCTGCACAAGCTCTTTTTTTGCCTGCTGCCACCCACATAAGATGTGTCTTGCTCCTTTTTGCCATGATTGTGAGTCCTCCCCAGCCATGCGGAACTGTATGTCCAATAAACCTTTTTCTTTTGTAAGTTGTCTGGTCGTGGGTATGTCTTTATCAGCAGTGTTAAAATGGACTAATACAATCACTCTATCAAATGAGATAATATTTATTCCTTTACCACTGACAACTCTCTCTCGGCTCTTCTATTCAATCATGTTACTGATAGATGCTTTGCTTTTTGTTTTTGTTGTTTAACCTGATTGTTATAGCTTATTTTATGAATTTCTGTTCTTCTTTTAATTTTACAACAATTTTACTATTTCTCCTTACATGTTTATAAGTCATACGGAGACTCCTTCTCATCTACCCTGACCCCAGAATATTAAAACTTTTCAGAGTTTCTGGATTAATTCCATTATATGGACATGATTTCTTGAGATAGGAAAAACTGATTTGATTGTGACATTAGACTTATCGGAATCTAAGATCTCACAAAATAAAGCTTTACTAGTAATTTCACGAACTCAGGTAATCATTAGGCATGGGCAAATCAGAGAATTATTTAGATCTCTTAATCTGATTCTTTAGATCCTGGGTTCTATCATTAGATACTCCCTTGCCCAGGCAGAAAGATGAGACTTCTAGAGAGGTATGCCGACAATTTATTTACATGGAGATAACTGTCTCAATTATCAAATATCTTAATTTTTATGCAGATAGTTACATATGTGGTATATGTGACATTTTCCAGGGAGCCCCATAAATCCACAACCTTCTACTTTGTTAACCATAAGCAATTCTAAACGACCAAGTACATTCTGCTAAAAGCATTTCTGTGATAGATGATCACTCTCCTGCTAGCAAAAAAACAAATTGTTTGTCAGGAGCTGTCATTAGTATGTTTATATAAGCAAAATGGGCTTCCTTCCTTCTGTGGATCCTGGCAGGGCATCTCAGTAATCAGAAAGAATCAAAGACCCTTTCCTTCCCAGTCTGCTCTGGCCTTGGTCAACATCTTAGTGCCAAATATTGCTGGTGTATTATCATTATTGGCTTACACCATTTTCTGCAGTGTTTCACTTAAGCCAACTGATACTCTGACCTTGATTTGAACCATCCAACAGAGAGTAGGAATTCCCTCCACAAAGCACGTTACTCATTAACATCTTCCTTTACAAGTCTCTTGATGTTCATTCACAAACTCAATTACCTTTTTCCTCCCTCAACCTCAATTATTTGCATCATTTTCCATGGGCCTATGGGAGTATTTAATTGAATACATATTTTTTCTTCTCAAATCAAATTTTCTGAAAAAAATTTGTTTCTATGAACTGTATTTTAGGTATATTCCAGGTTGGTACAAACACTAATTTTCAGGGGTCATTATGTCAAAGAGCCCATCCACACCCCATGGCCTACATATGTCAAAGGATTGTTCTTTATTCATCCACTTTCTACGAATTCCACACATGGGAGATAAACTTCTTTTTCATCCATATTACCAGGGCTGTCAGGGAGCAACATTAAAGGTCACAGTGTTCAGTGAAACCTTGCCATAACTTAGGCTAAACACGTTTTTCCCATAATTTTACTTCTTCAGCTTCTTTCTTTCCTTTCTTTCTTTCTTTCTTTCTTTCTTTCTTTCTTTCTTTCTTTCTTTCTTTCTTTCTTTCTTCCTTCTTTCTTTCTTTCTCCTTTCTTTCTTTCTTTCTCCTTTTCTTTTTCTCTCTTTCTTTTTCTCTCTCTCTTTCTCTATCTTTCTTTCTTTTTCTTTCTTTCTTTTTTTTTTTTTGGCAGGGTTTCACTCTTGTCACCTAGCTGGACTGCAGTGGCACAATCTCGGCTCACTGCAACTTTCACCTCCCAGGTTCAAGCAATTCTCCTGCCTTAGCCTCCCGAGTAGCTGGGATTACAAGCACCCACCACCATGCCTGGCTAATTTTTGTATTTTTAGTAGAGATGGGGTTTTGCCATGTTGGCCAGTCTTGTCTTGAACTCCTGACCTCAGGTGATCCACACTCCTCAGCCTCCCTAAGTGCTGGTATTACAGGTGTGAGCCACTGTGCCCGACCTTGAGCTTGTTTTTTTATGAATTCCTGCAACTCAACATTAAAGACATAATATCCCATAGTGATTAATATATCCAATAGTCCTTCCTGACTAAAGGTACAAAGTTAATCCTAGTGTTGTTAATAAGAATGGAAGTCATTATTTATTCAGTGTCTTCAGTTCAAGCATTGTCTTAAACCAAACTGATTTCCTACTACAACTGAGTCCTCTAAAAACAGCTTCCTCTAGTGTCCCTATTTGAAGTAGCAAGTCATTTTTATCATAATGATGGGCCTCCTAGAACACTACTTCAATTAGATTCAATATCACATGACCAAATCCTGTAATTCTTTCAAAATGCCTGGCAAAGGGGCCAGTGCTGCTTAACTTGCCACTTACGTAGTTCATGTTATGTGCTAATTAAATGTGTCTAGTTTGAAAGCATTGTCTACACCTACAAATAATGTGCTTCATGAAATTCTCAATTAGGTATATCCTAGCACCAGATACCGTTTTATCTGGCTGTGCCATAGGCTTCCCTTAAATGTCCTCTACGTACCTCTTGAGGGAGTTATTTATAATTTTAAAGCATTAAAGCAAACATAAAATCACATTCTCTGAGGCTTTCTAGGTTCTAGTTTTATATTATTTAAATTAATTCCATTTACATTCACACTGATATGTTCAAAGCAACAGATCAGATCAAGCTGTGACATACCAGACAGGCAGCCACTATCTGCTTTCTATCATAACCAGGGAGCTGTCTTAGCAATGTATCATTTTGATTTATGGCCATATAGAGTGCAGAAATTCTATTGTACAGCATCCTCTGCTCTGTACAATTCACTGGTAGTTTCTCTGGAAAAAAATAATCTAGAATGGTAAACAAAGCCTAGAAACTGAGTGATAACTGTAGTCAACTACACATAAGCTGAGTTGTCAGGGGGCACTTTGTCATTTGTTTTATTCAAATTATACAGGTAGAACATCCAAATCAGTAGGAGTCCAATTTTCCTTTTCTGCAGTAAGCAGGCCAAGAGATTTTCACCAAGAAAGCCCATTTATTTGGATGAAAATAGCAAAAGATAGTTAAGTATGATATCCTCACTCTGAGCTGTTTGCATGAAAATATTGTAGTGGCTTCCCTCCACGGTAATGTAATCTACTTATAAACACCTTTCCCATCTGCTATGATTTTACCCTATTTCCAAATGCTTCCTCCCAATATCAGGCTGTATAACTCATCATGCATAATGTTTGCCCACACAATCAATAACAAGAACCTTACTAGCACACCCAAACAAATGTTTGGGTTTTATTTGTTTGTTTGCTTAACTTTTATTTTAAGTTCAGGGGTACATGTGCAGATTTGTTACACAAGTAAACTTGTGTCATGGGGTTTGTTGTCAAACAAATGTTATAAGTGATAGACAGAGGACCTCAGAAGTCTCTCCTCTGCTTGATAATGGAGCTACCTTCACCTTTAGCCCTAATTTGATTACATAGGAAGGAACTTTTGATCCACCACAAATTACCTTTCAGAAAAGGCACAGTCAAATTAAATGACAAGAATATCACGTCTTGGGTAATGTATAATCTTCCTCTGGTGCAAGTAAACTTAAAACTGGGTTTGAGACCACCATTAGAGGCCAAATAAAAGTATTAGATGTGGGAAAGATATAAAGTTATATATTATTGCATTCCCCTTCACTCCCTCATTACTACCTGTTGATTTTAGTAAGGCACAGTGGATTTTGTGATTTATTTCTCATAGTAGTCTCAGGAAGCAATGGTTTCACTAAATGAACCCTTAAAAATTTTTGAGCAAGGGGTCTTGCTTTTCATTTTTCACTGGGTTACAGAAGTTATGTAGCTGGTCCTTCCTGTTGACATTGGCTGTGTCATTCAGTGCAACAGCATGTGTCTTTCAAATGGATTATAGCAAACAGCTGCCACAGGCATATTTTGAGTCAAAATCGTGAGGAGTCTAAATTGGTGGTCCCATTTAACTTTTCCTAAAGGGCTCTAGTTTGGGTATGCCCTAATATCATCTGACCAGTTGGATGGGATCATAAGGGCCTAATGTTATTGCCTGTGCTACCACCTACCACAATACTTTTCATGCTTATTTCTATTCCGTACCTGCAGTGAGTTAAATAGTGCTCTTCTAAAATTATTACTCATTCAGAATCTCAGAAGGTGACCTTCTTTAGAAATTTGCACATATAATTAGTTAAGATGAGCTCCTACTAGATTAAGGAGGGTCCTAATTCCAATGACTGGAGGTGTTTTTATAAGAAGAGAGGACCCATGGAGAAGAGATTGAAAATGAAAGCAGAAATTGGAGTAATAAATCTATAAGTAATAAAGCTCCAAAAATTTGTAAGAGAGAGTAGAACCTAGGCAGGGGCAAGAAAAGATTTTTTTCTGTGGCTTTTCAAGGAAGCGTGACCCTATTGACTCCTTGGCTTCAGACTTCTAGCCTCCAGAACTGTGAAATAATAAATTTCAGTTGTTTTAAGCTACCCAGTTTGTGGTAATTTGTTCCAGCAGCCCTAGGAAAGTACTACAATGCTGTATTCACGTTCTGAACTCTTTCCAGTTATTTTGTGAGTATGGGTAGACAAGATTCTTAGAACAGTCTTGACAGTCTCTGAGTTTATTGCTTATTGATGGGTCCTATGAAAGATAAATTACTTCTCACAGTTTAAGGAATGTCCTAAGTTGATCTGCACTAATTTACAGGATTTAGTTGCAGTTTAAGGAATGTCCTAAGTTGATCTGTACTAATTTCCAGGAATTAATTTGCACCTTGGGCTGTGCCTTAAATTATAGCTGGATTTATCAGCCAGCTTCTATTTGTAATATGGGTGACTATGGTCCTTAACTCCTCTCCTAATTTTTGCTCTGAGAAGAAAATTATCATCATACCATGAAAGTAGTATATGAACTCTATCTTTTAGGTTATTCTTTACCAGATTATGGAAATGTGATAATGAATTTTTTTAAAAATCCATGATAAGACAGTAAACATATACTTGTTTCTATTCTGCAAAGCTTAAAATATTCCTACTTGAAATTAAAAAAAAAAAAAAATCTTAGGAGGCCCCTGAGATTGGTTTAATGCTCTGTTGTAGCTATCTTGAAATTCTTCATAATTTTTGAGTAAGTATCCATGCATTTTCATTTTATACTCAGCTCTACGAATTATGTAGTTAATCTTGATAACATATCAGAGCCTCTTGTCTACTTTATTTTCTGTACATTCTTAATCATATCAGGTACAGATGAAGCATGCAAATGAACCACCTTGATACTCTACTGTAACTGTCCAGGGGCTACCTACTTATTGACCAGTTAGAACTACAAAAAGGAAGTTAATGTGGGGAGGGGAACTTCCTTCTGAACCATTTTCTTAATTACAACAGTAGTCTCTTATTGCGCCCTTGGAATTCTGCATTGCTTAATGTTTACTATTGTGGAGAGCTTGAGCAATTCCAAAGGATCCCATTTGGCATGGCTGATTAAAATTTGGTGAAGAGTGAGCTTAGTCTTCATCCTCTGTGGAAACACAAAGACAACAATGTCCCATTCATATTGAATGACAATTGCAATTTTGTATTTATGTAAAGGTAGCACAAGCAGGTAATATTCTCTCCAACCACACATTCCAACCTGTAACTTCATCTTTACCTTGGTTTCCTCCCTGATGTTCTCTTCATGCACTCCAGATTTCACTTAGAGCATGTATGAGGCTCTTTCCTACCTTCCATAAGGCCTACTGTAAATTCTGCTCTACATCCTACCAATGATAAGAAACTTTGAATACCACTCCAGGTAACTTTGTTCAAATTATTATATATATGGCCTCAGATCCATGACTGGGACTGGAATGAACAGACCTCAGTTCTTTATTTAATTGTTTTCAGATTCTATGGCTTTAATTAAGTCAGTAAACTCAGCCCCCTGTTCAAGTATATTCTCTTCTATATCACTATCCTCATAATTGGATTTGAACTCTTTCAGCCATAATAAATAAAGCAAATTTTCTATGATTCTTTAAGGAATTGGTGGGTGCTACAGTACTCCCCTCCTCTGATTCAAAAGTTTATAATGTGCTTTTACTTTCTTATTAAAAATTCTATCAAGGCTTACTTTTTAAATCCTATTTATATTTTCTTCAAAAGTAAATTAATTCAAGTGAGCTGCCTTTCTATTTTCTCTTCTGATTTTTAATTTCTCCCTGTTGTGCACATGATATAAATGCTTTTTCTTCATGTAATCCCATGTATAGTAACTAAACCTGTATGTTTGTTACTGCTCTCTGAATATATATATTTGGCTCTCAAGGTTATATAAGTCTTGTAAGACAGAGCATCATTAGCTTATCCCATTCACTCTATCTCTTATTATTTGTATCAATAACATTAACTAAGGTGTTTTCTCTCTGGAAAATATAAAGCCTGTCAACATTTACACTTGTATCATTCCTATCATGTGAAAAGGAGAATCCAATTGGCAATTTGGAGAGGAATAGTAGCAGTTACCCTTCTCAGTATAGGACTGACAAATCTCACCTTAACAACTGCAGCCGATATGCTATCACAGTATTTGGAAGTGTTTTCTCAAAAGTTTACAGCCATTTAATGATTAGTCATGACCATGAATAGTCCTTTGCATCAAATAATAATAGAATTGCAACAAGTCCTCCATCATTAATTTGAAGAATCCATGCCAATGTTAATTCACCAGTCTTCTGTTAGTGAATATTCTGTTCTTTAATAAAATATAGTTTTCATTCATCACCTGACCTTGGACTCCAATTGCATAAATAGTTTGTCCAATAATCAATATTTTGAGTCATTTCTAAGGATACATGAAATTTCTCCAAGAAACCAGGGAGGGATAAGAAGGTTTTCCAGCGAATAAAATGTAATCTCGCAGCTTTTACTCCCACTATCATCTCCTCCTATTAAAAACTAACCTATTAAAAGGTTAGCTTTTACAGGTATGCTAGCAGGAGTCAGCCAATGGGATTTTCACCCAATTTCCCTTTGTCCATGTACTCCCTAGACCTGTACTCCCAGACTATAGTCTATGGCCCCCAGATTTCAATGGTAAGACTTATTTCCCTTAGCCTGCCTCAAAGATTCCACTACCTCATACCAAAAATGTACAGCCAACTATCCTGAGAACAAATTCTCATATTTTTCCATTATCTCCTTTTGAAAAGGAGCACAGGTAGAAAAAGAAAACATTCACTGTTTTGATGTGTGGGTCTAAAAGACAATCCTGCTCACAGTGCCAATCTGAACCCACAAAAAGCATTGAATTGTCAAATCAGACTCAGATTGAAGATTTTGCTCAGTATCATGCTTTCTGAATAATTTCAAAGATAAAATAATCATATATGGGTTAAGTGGGGAGAGACCTGGGTCCTTTCATCTTCATTGAATGTGGTCTGGTCCAAGTTTCTAGATTTGGTTTCTAAGTAAAATGTACAGTTGCTTTACTTACTCAGGTGTATTCTCAGTTACAAACCATCTCCTTTTATACTTAGATAGCAACACAGCTAACATGACATTTTCTTGGGAATCATCACCCTACATTTATTGATTCCTGGCTTATTTTTCATAAGCAATTTTAGACAACTCCGCATGGTCTGCTAAAAACATTTTATGAAGAATGATTCTTTTGCTACCAAAAACTATTTAGTTTATTTTCTAAGAGACTTGCATTAATATGTTTGCAGAAAAATTAAACTAGAACACCTGACTTCTTTATTTCCCAGGAGTTTTCCTCCACACCTGACCCCATCAGGGGAGAAAATTGATCAGGAGGTACTACCTCTTTCCACACCATTCTTGAATCTATTCTACAGAACTCTCTCACATGGTCTAGCAATATGTTTAAGGTAGAATGCTTTTTCTATCAATATTTCTTATGTGTTAAATTTGCATTATTATATATTGACTAGAAATTATATATTCCTTCTTAAACATTAATCATAATGCATCTAAAAACCTAATTTATTTCAACCAATAAATTTCTCTTTAATTCCTGTCCTCAACATTCTTGTCCTCAATATTCCTATTGTTACTGTTACAGTTATGAAATCATCTTAATGAAATCACAGCTAGACCTGTGCATTTATTTAAAACAATAGTATCCTTTTTCTATAACTTAACTTCTTCAAACTTTTCTTCACTGTCGTATAATGATAATTACTCTAAAATGACAATCTGATCATTAAAACTTTAATCTTTTACTCTCTGCCAATTTCATAAATAAATATTTGATTCACAGTTGTTATTTCTTCTTCAAGATACATCAAATAATCCACCTTTACAAAAAGCAATTTACTGTTTCATAAATGTGCTTTATTATGTCACATATTCAGTCTTTTAAACATTTTGTGCCACCCTTGGTCATCAAATAAGTTTCTATCTACTAAACATGACTGACTTAGCAAAACTATAGCCTTAGTTTCATGCATGTCTCCATCAATTTTGCAATTGCTTTTATACCCAAACTGCAGTGGGAGAAAAACACACAACCAAATTGTGCTGATTGTTATCTCTTTAAAACCACAACCTTGAAAAGCAAATGTGCCTTTAATGCGGCCAAACAAGCCCATTTTTCTTTTGTTAGCCATTGCCTTCTTCCTCTTATGTAAGATTAACTTATGGATTCTTTCCTCATTTCACAGCCCTCACATACTTTTCTTCAATCTCAATGCCAGGTGATGACCTTGTTTCCTGTGTCAATAAATAAATAAATAGATAGATAAATAACAATCAAGAGGAAATGCATGCAGACTCCCAGTACTACATATACTTAACGCCAGTATCTAAAATTACACATTACTCATCCTGCATATTAATAGAGCAGGGTCTTTTCTCTGGTACTATGGACAAACTGAGCCAGATAATTCTATGTTTGGGATGGGGTGTTGGAAAGATTGCCTTGTATGTTGCAGGATGTTTAGCAACATCCCTGGCCTCTCCAATTCGATGCTAGTAGTAACTCCATTCACAAGTTGTGACAACAGAAAACATCTCCAAACATTGCCAATTGGCTCCTTGCAGAGTGAAATCTCTCCTTAAAGAAAACCACTGCCAGAAATGGAATGTTTATACACCTACCTCAAGCTTACACCTTTACTTGTTTATCAACTCTTTCTGACTACACAGGTTATAGACAGATACTTTTCAATACTTACCCCTCTTATACATAATCAAATTTTCCTCATTATTGGGTCATTTCATGATCATACAAATATGCTATTACTTCTGTCATATTAGAAAATAAAAGCAAATAAGCAACCAGTATTCTTCATTTTCCCCATTTTCATTGTCAGATACCACCAGGGAATTTGATCCCTTTTTCACCAAAACTCTTTAAAAGGATAATTTATACTCACCGTGTCATTTGCTCGTTGCATTTTCTCTTTAATCATTTCACTTCCATATAGATTTTTGCCCCCCAGTACTCTAATTAAACCTGTCCTCCACTTTGTTAATCTTATAGTTATTTTTCTCACCTTACTTGATTTATCAGCAGCATTTGAAGTATATTATTCTCATAATACTATCTTCATTTGACTCCCTGGTTTTATATTATTTGTATACTTCTCTCTCTCTCTCTCTCTCTCTCTCTGTCTCCCTCTCTCTCTCTCTTTCAGTGTTTTCTTCTATTCCTCAGATTCAATGTTGGAATGCCCCAGGCCTCAGTATTTTATTTCCCCCCACCCTCATCTTTCTCTGCACTTCTTTCCTTGGTTATCTCATCCAATCTCATGGTTTTACATGCACTGTAAATGCTAATGACTCCCAAATTTATATTTCCATGCCATATCTCTATCCCAAATTCCACACTTATAAATCCAATTGCATTTTTTACACTTCCACCTGAATGTTGTGATGATAATGGGTCTATTTTTCCTGAGACCCATTCCTCACTCTGCCCAGCTCAGTTCATAAGACAGAGGGGATGAACACTGTGGATTACGTATCTCAGATTTTCTGAAAGCTGGCTTCCAGGTAGGCTCAAACAATAGGAAACTCATGTAGAAAGATGAAAGGCAGGAACAAGGAGAAATCTAGATATTGTCTCAATTTCTCCCTGTCATCCCTAATAACAGTTGCATTTTTTACAGGCTCCTGCTCCTTTACATAGGCCCACTGTGGTTCCAACTTCCCCCAGATATCCCTCCCTGCAGCTCCAGTAGTACAGCCTCCTATCCCTGTTCTCCAAGGGAAGGTGATAGTAGCCTCCCATTGTTGCTAAATTGTAGGTTGCCTCACTGTCCCCTGGCTGGGTTTAATTTTTTTAAAGTTATTTTTACCATCAATTACCTGTATCAATTCCCTTTGTTTTAAATTCTCAATGATTTCAATTTTCCTGGCTAGTTTCTGATTGCTTCAGATACCTAATGGAAATCTCAAAGTAAGTATGACTCAAGAGAAATTGCTGATTTCCATCTCCCAGCCACTACCAAACCTGTTTATGCTTATCCATTTCATTTGATGGCAAGTCCTTCCTCTGGTTGCTTAAACTCAAAGACTTTATAATATCTAGAATCTACTACTTCTCACCATGTCTACTGACGTGTGAATTACTACTGCTTTCCTCTTGGATAAAGTCAATATCTAAAGAGGGGACTTTTTCTAAAAGTGTCCCCTTACAGTCAGTTACCAACACAATATCCACAGTCATCATTTTTACATAAAAGAGCATGTCACTTCTCTTCTTAGGACCTATAGTGACCCTCTCTTTCATTGATGGTAAAATTCTAAGGCAGTGTGAGTTTTAAAATACCCTGTCAATATGTACAATTATTATGTCATTTAAATATAATATATATTTTTTAAAATTAAAAACGTATATCAAGGCCCAAGTTACTTCTGTGTGCTCATCATTAACTTCCCTTCCTCACTCATCTCCAGCCACACTGGTTTCCTTGAACCCCTTCAAACAAGCCAGATATGGGCCTGTCCTGGGCTTTTGCACTGTCTTTTCCCTCTGCCTGGGTTCCCTTCTTTCAGATATCTACATGTTTAATCCCTCACCACCTTTAAATTTTTGCATAAATGCTATCTTTTCAATGATGTTTTCTACGGCCTCCCTACTTAACATCTCAACCTGTTTCTTGGACCAGCATTAGAAAATGAATATAGAGAGATGAATACAATATATATGGCCCTGCCTTCGTAGTACTAGCAATCTACAGGGACACAAAATAATATGCAAAAAAGTATTTGAATTATCTTCAGCACCTTTCTAAAGAAAAAAAGCTACTTAAAACTTACACTTAGAAGTGCTCAATATGAGTCAGTACATTATGTCACCACCTAAAGTAACAAGATGTTAGGCTGCAACTGCTGTATATTTTGAATGAGACTCATTACACTATGAAGTCACATACTTGTTTAATATTATAATAAGACAGAACTAAATTTAAATCAGAGTTATACCAAACACTGGCTACTCTGAATCTCTACATCTCAATGTTCTCACGAGCAAAATCGAGCTAATAATAATACTAGCTTCTTAAAGTTATTTAAAAGATAAATGAGCTAAGATATGTAATGCTCATAGCCCATTTAGAAAGGCAAAATATAAGGTATAGTACATAGAAACCACTGACCATTGGTAATTCTGAAACACTACAGGTCAGACAGTTTGAATGAACCATATACTAAAGGTTGGAAAAGTTATTTGATTAAACTCTGCCTTTTTTTTTTCTGGGAAGAACACATCGATTAATCATTTTGTATAATCTCAACCTCTCCCTTCTTGGGAGTGGGGATAGGGGAAACAGTTTTCATCATCTATGATCTGAAGTTTCCGCATGCTCTTTCTCATTGTTAAGACAATACCACTTATTTTAGCTTATTGTTACAATAGTATTTCATTTTTTTCTAACAACTTGGTATTAGTCAAGATGGGATATAATAACAAATGACTCTTGAAATCTTCATGGGTGCCATGGGAAGTTTTAAGAACACAACTTGAAAGTGAATTGCATGACTTTGTTCTGTATTTCATTGACCACTACTCATTCAGTAAGCGTGAAAGTAACTGTGTATATCATTGTTAGTATACTATGCATGCCAGATACCCAAGACTCAGTCTTAAACTTTTCCTTTCCTTTACACACCATGTATTTAGTCATCAATTTTGGTTCAACCTACTCCACTAAATAGCTTTGACTTCCATTCACTTACCACTTTAGATTAGTGCTATAGACTCCTATTGTACCTCCTTCATATAAATCCCCTTAAAACTCCCAATAGCTTCCATTGTTTCACCCAAAAGCTCAAATTCCTTTAATATAAAGTGTTATATGAACTGGCACCCCATATACTTTATATCCTAATCTCTCATCTTTCATTTATTTTTTTAACTCCTGACTCATGTAACAAAAATGTATTTATCTCAGCACGTATTCACTCCCTTACTTGTTATGCTCTCCCAAATGTCCCTGTATTTTTAATTGAATAGTAATTGCCACATTTTATTTTATATGCTTATGTTACATTTATATATATATTTACTACAGTCTCTGCGTTTAGAAGGCATACACTGGCCAGGCGCAGTGGCTCACACCTGTAATCCCAGCACTTTGGGAGGCTGAGGCGGGCGGATCATGAGGTCAGGAGATCGAGACCATCCTGGCTGACACGGTGAAACTCCATCTCTACTAAAAATACAAAAAATAAGCCGGGCGTGGCGGCAGGCGCCTGTAGTCCCAGCTACTCAGGAGACTGAAGCAGGAGAATGGTGTGAACCCAGGAGGTGGAGTTTGCAGTGAGCCGAGATCGCGCCACTGCACTCTAGCCTGGGCGACAGAGTGAGACTCTGTCTCAAAAAAAAGAAGAAGGCATACACTGTGATATTTGCAACATCAAACAAACAAACAAACAAAAACTAAAACTGGAAGAATACCCAAAAATAACTCAAAGGAATAATTTTAATTTCAATTAATTGATTATGGCCTTTATCATTTCAAGATTTTTATATGTCTACTTTTATGAACTCTAGGCTAGTTTTTTCCACTTTTATTTCTACAATCATAGGGCCTATTTTATATTTTCTCTTGCACTTGATTATAGAAGAGATTGAAATGAGTTAGGAAACATGTACTTGAAACCAATAATGAGCACACTTTACAGGATTTCAAAATCTAAAAATATCATAAGATAACTTCAGGGAAGAGTAATAAGTATTGGTGTCATTTTTTTCCTTTTAGTAGATTAGTTGAAGAGGTAAATTGAACATGGACTATGTGTCAGACTTTTTTTTTCCAAATTATATTCTTAAATATATAGTAAAACATATGCTAGAGGCGGTTTTTTAATAACAAACAATATTTGAATTGAGACCCTGAAGAAAAATAAACTGTGCAACAATGTATTATTAAATATCTGCATTTTCTAGAGATGTATCCTTAAGTATGTAGGTATAAAATTACATTCTGAGATATATTTTTAAAATAATTTGGCAAGAAGAGAACAGGGATACCTTAAGCAGAAACAATAAAATTATGATAATTGTTGAATATGTGTGATGGTTGTATGTTAATGTATTGATTATTTTGTGTGGGTATGAAAACATGATAATAAAATCAAATTACAAAAAAATAAAAAATACCTCTTGCTTTTTTAGCAGCTTATTACATTGTTTATAACAGTGTCTATAGCGCTATGATTGGTCAGAGCCAGAGACTATAACATTTAATAAAACGAGTCTCTCTAGAAGCTCATGGGAGTTCATTTACAGCAGCAAAGACCTATATTAAATGGACTGAATATTTAAGGAGTAATTATGTTGAGTAATGTGTTTATTTATAGTTTTAATTATACATTATCTTTTTTGGTTATCTTTAAAATATATTAAGCTTATGCAAATACGATATGCATCATAACCCAGGATCTATTATCTGAATTGCTTATATACTTATAATAACATAACTTTAAAAGAAAGAATCAAACCATATTGCTAGCTTACAGGTTGGATCTTTCTAGAAAATAGTTATTTACCTGAATGTTTATTTTTGTTTTGCATCTTCATCAGTTAAAACCAACAGTTACAATACAAATGAAAGTTAAAAAATAATAATATTATTAATGTGAAATTTCAATGTGCTTAGCAACAAACAATGGGAATAAGAATTATCCAGGATGTACTAAACGCTACAAGAATTATATAAGTCTAATGAACATGATGCTTTTGAACTTAAGTAAATTCTATGTGCTTAACTATTTTTATTGTTTATAGATTTAGGACTTCTGAATGCATTCTTTTTTGCTGTTATGGGATATTATGAATTCACCTTAGTAGACTTTTGCTTACAGGACATAAAATTAATTTATTCTATGAATTTTTTCTTCTTTTTCTAAAAATGTGTAAGTTCTGCGATTTCTTGGACTAAAAGATATCTATTTACATAGTGAAAGGCCAGGCCTTATAAAGATCATGACAGTATTCAATCCTATTCTTGTTTTTTGTTTCAATGTGTTGCTAGTTATCTTATCTCAGTGTATTGTATTTATATAACTGCATATTTGATTAAGATACCTAACCTATGAGACATATTAACATAATGAACACATGTAAACACACAACCCAATTTAAGCATAAGAACAGTATCAATAATTTTGCAGTTATCTTTCACTCTTTTTCAGCCACACAGAGAGAACTATACTCTTAATTTTGTGTTTAGAGTCCTCTATTTTCTTAATGGACAGATTGCACATGGTTAAAGGTCTATCTTTACATCAAGAGAGCCTGTGTTTGGATCTTGTTCACGCTGCTTATGTCTCTTTTGAAGTTATGCTTAAGCTTTATCCCTTGTTCCTTTATGGAAATTTGAGTATTTTAGGAAAAGTAAAAAAAAAAAAAAAAGAAAGAAACTTTAAAGTAGAATGATAAAATCTAGTGTTTTTAGATACAGAAGTGAGAAGTTGAATACGGGTAAAGCATGATGGACTATGGGAAGAACGGAATTTCTTGTGTGTGACTGCTCATTCAATAAGCTATATTTTTTAAAGACCTGAACAGGTTATAGCTATTGGTTATCTACAAGTGGAATTCTCAAACACGAAAATGAAAGCCTGACAAATAAGATGCTAATGCCATTTTCACTTAAAAAATAGAACAAGCGAAAGAGAGAAATAAAAGCACTAGCCCAGTAAGAACATCCTCTATTTGCCTTACTCATAAGCCAGTTCAGGGCCATATCTGCAAAACTAGGAAGAAACTGCTAAGTGCTAAAACGTTTTAACCAATCACTTTAAGAAAGGCAGAGAAAGCAAATCACTCAAGTAGATAAAACAGGAGAGACTGAAGTTGCTATAGTTGTAATCTTTTTAAAAATAATCTATTTGTTTTGAAGAAAACCCCAATAGGAAGGTGTTTTCATTTTTAAAGGTATCTCTTCAGATACTATTTAATACTCAATGTGCTAATAATGTCAAAAATTGTTAAATGCGTATATATCTGTATTTCAAATAGGATAGTTTATCAAGTCAGGTTTTCCAAGAAGCTGATACTATGCAATTATTAGTCACTCAAAAGGTTATAAGAGGAACATTAGTTAAAGATTAAGAAGAAAAAGCAGACCTAAGTGCAGGGAGTCTTCAGTGATGCAAGCCTGGCTTCTGTCAAAAGAGGGGGAGAAGGAAGAAAGATGAGAATGAAAGAGTCACAGCCTGAAACACAGTTTAGGAAATTTTGGCCCGGACAATAGGAGTCTCCAGTCCAAAGTCTTCTGTTGGAAGGTTACCACAAATCTTAAAAATGGCCTTCATCAATACTCCCAGCATGCTCAGTCATTGGCCAGGAACAGCCAGAGAAAATATGGCCTGAGTGCAAAGATAGTCATACAACCAGAAAAACAGTAGCTGGGGCTGCCTGTCATCCATGCTCACTGAAGCAAGAGTTGTGAGTGGTGACCACATATATCAAATATTTCTATGAAAAAAACAAAACAAAAAAAACCCAATCAAGTGAAACTCCAAAATGATAACCTTTAATGCTTATTAGATGACATAAGTGTTAGGTTGGATATTTTATTAAATATTTAATCATTATATATGCACATATTTATGGGCATGTGATCTTAATTTCTGTTTTTAAATTCAGAATGCTTCAATAATAACATTGCATTTTATATAATCCTGATTTTCTTTTTTAAAATCAGCTCAAAAGGAGAAGCTAAAATATTCAGCTTTAATTTCACCAGTAGATTTTTAATGTTTTGTAATCATAATGTTTAATTTGTGCTGTTCTTAGAAGTTTAATTATGAAGCTAAATTGTACTAATACCCATTAGGTACTTCTTAATTGAAGGCGCATCATATTTCTGATGTGGCAGTACTAATTGGTGTAATTAAATTCTAATATGCTTCAGTAGCCTGATTTTTTAAAGTGAATAAAAAGCTGATAGAAATAAGTCAGCTCTTGAAGCTGCATAGTTGTATAATACATACACGTGTTTGCATTTGTAACATGCACATTTATTCAGAACAAACAACTCATTAATTTATTCCAAAATAATTTCACTTGATAACTTGAAATACAGAGTAAAACAAATTGGTCAGGTAAATATACATGTAACTTAAAAAGAAACAGTCATGTACTTTAGGCATAAGGACAATGCTTTTCTCTTTTACAAATTCTTAGTTAGGTCAAATTCTCTGGAAGTCACTACATTTCTTTACTGTGATGTGTTTTGGGTGAAGTTACAACCTATTTGCAAATCACATCACTGGTTTGTCCAAGCAGAGGTAGATGAGAGGTAAGCTCCTCTCCTGCTAAAAGTCTCCTAAAAACAGCAAGAAAATATTTTTATGTGTTCAAAAATGCTCATTTATTTATATTCCTAAATTTTCTTTTACTCAGTATAATATAGATAATTTAAAAGTAAGTAGAATATTTTTATTATATATGTTTTATTTTTATACTTCTAGTTAAATTAATAGTGGAACATTATATATCTATTAAATGTTTTAAATTACATGGAATTAAAATATCAAAGTTAATTATGTTATTATAATTTTTAAATTTCAGAAACCTTCTTTAAAATTCTTACTGTTTTATCTTAATAAATTCATATGGAAATTGTGGTCAGATGTAAACTGTGACTCTGAGCACAAATCCCAATGCTATTGCCAATTTAATTCCAATTTTTGTGTTTATACATGAAATGTAGTTTTTCTTTTATTGAGTTTTAAAAATCTGTAAGATTTACCTATCTGAATATACACTCAGGTCTAGCTTCATGTTCCTGTGACCTGTGTGGTCACACGAGGACCCATGTACATAATGACCTCATACTTGGCCTAATGCTCTGCTGTTGCCATCTTGAAACGCTTAACACTTTGAACGAGGTACAACATCCATTTCATTTTGCACTGGGCCCTGCAAATCAAGTAGACAGTCATATATGAGTCCAGTATTTTCCTACCACCAGACATTTTAATGTACTGAAGAGATTTAAAAAAAAACTAATAATTAGAAGTTTTAAAAGAATATTTTAAAGAGTTGTTGTTTGTTTGTTCGTTTGTTTGTTTTTTAATCCTAGATGTCTCAAGCTTGCCTTCCATTAGACAATGCAGTAAGGAACGCTCAGTTTACAATACAGGGCAGGCAGGAAGACAACCAACTCAATGGGATCTATGTCCTGTGCAGTCACCACCAGCTGAGCCTTCTTTTTCTTCACTAAGGTGGTGACAGAGTTAACCCCCGTTAAAAGGACAGGTGATCTCTTAGTGGGGATGTCTCCTTTGCTTTCTTCTCAGCCCAGGCCAACAGTCTCTGCTGCTTCTCTTGCTTTGTCTGTGGTCTGTACTTGCCAGCCAGCTTACCCCACTGAGCAGCTGTTTGGTGGTCCAAGGCCCTGGTGAACTGATTAATCACAGAAGGCACTTCTAGCTGCTTATAGAGGATGGCTCTCTGCTGTTGCAACCTAGTATAATGGGGCCATTTGACAAAGCAAGTGAGGTGCCTTTTGGGCTGGATGTTCTGTCCAATGCCAAAATGTCCTGTCCAGTGCCAAATTTCTCAAACGGAAGATTCACCACTTTCACGGTCTCCTGCTTTTTCAAGACAGCAAGGGTCGGCACCACCTTCTTCCCTTTGGCCTTCTTTCCTTTTCGCACCTTGGGTAGCTGGAGAAGAGAATAATAAGATCTTGAGAGAAAAATAAGTTGAAGCCAGAGGTAAAACTGAATATTGGTAATATCTTTTTGTTTTAGGGTTGCTTTCCATTTTAGAAAGTAATTCAGAGTGTTATTTTTTAAAAATCATATATCAGAGTTCTCTAATAAATTTCAAACTTAAAAGAACATTTAACTTCATAAGAGAAGAGAAATGTTTCATGAACATATTTTAAAGATAGGAAAACTAGAATACAATTTGGAATAAAACTAATATTTTAAGTAACCTGGAGATAGGACTCATATCTTTTAATAGAACATGCATTCTAACAAGCCAGTGATTTTTCAAAGTTTTCTAAAACACTTTTCTCAAACCATATTTAACCTAGAAGTAGAAACAAATAAAAGACACAAAATTAGAGTTAATTTTGTTGTAACTGGGTTGGCTCCAGAGATTATAGTTAGGAAGTGATTACATTAAGCTCTACATATGCAGCATTCTAGCAAATTTCAATGCTGTAGACAAAATCTATAAATAATGTGAAACACATATTAACATGTTAAGCATAATATGCATTCATTGTCTTCAACAGAATAGTTCTCTATTAATTTTTTAAATGTAATACAATTTTACTATAAAAACACTGAAAAATCAACATATTTCATTAAGAAAAAATTATAAATGTTGCAAAATGATGAGGAAAATACCTATAGTAATAATTCCCAACTATAACAATTTTGTTTTATCTAATACTGGTCAGCTTTCCATGTGTCCAAGCATTACAGGACTTTTCATTAAGCCTAATCCTCACAAGAACATTGCTTTGAGTGATATTCCAGAGTGGTAGTCCTTTAAGGCATTAGAACGATTTGTGAAATCACTAAAAATACTAGGGGAAATATTCAAAAAATGACAATAGTGCCATTATTCCTCCTCCTCAAAGAGACTATCAGAACTAAAACTCTTTGCTTCATGTTCCTGTTTACTTCTGTCACTTTCAAGTCACAGAGGTATTATCAGACTTTCATCATTATATGACTCTGCTTTTCCAACAGAATCAATTACCTATCCCTTATCTCACATCTTGATAGTGATAGATATTGAATGCTTATGTTCTGATTAGCAAACTGTTTTTGCATTTTTAATAAAAATTTGAACTCCTGATATGTCTGGAAAATATAACCCCTTCAACAGCCCTTTCAATGGGTTGCTACTATTTTGCTCACCCCATCTTCACCTGCCTAATGATGAGGATGCGGGGTATATACAATTTCAGTTAATTTGTAGTTATCAGTCTATTATAGTTCTTTCCTTCTGAAAACCAACAAGTAAATAAACCAACAAGCATCACCAATAAACTTTGACAGTTTATGGTTCATAACGTAAGTCTACACCAAACTTTCCATTCAAATGCTTTTTCAAACCTTTGTTTGGTTTCTTTCTCTATTAAGACAACTTTTGCTTTTGGCTTTCAAAGACATTCTCTCCATTATAAACTCTGTCGTTATTCTCTATTGTGCTTACCTCAAACTGGTAACACTTTCAAATCTTACCTGTCAGTTTCTTGACCACCATGCATGTTAATAACATTTCTTCTCTATTTTAGACAGCAAATGTTTCTCAATATTTTAAAAAAATTAAAATATCCTACTCTTTGGTCCTCTCTACCTCCCATTTCATCCAATATCACTTGTTCAAGACCTGAACTCGTACAGGTTTTAACCTCTTGAAGACTGTCACTCTATGGACTCTACTCTCTTCTCTCTCCTCCATAGCCTTCTCATTGCTTATCTTCCCTACTTGTCCAGGAAATGATGACATGTTTCGTCACTATAATTAATCCCTTTCAAATGGCCTTTATGCCAAATTATTTTATTATATGCTCTTTCTGTGCCATGCCTTGTTTTCCAAATTTACCACAGTACAAATTTTACAATTAGTTTTCCATTACTGAATTAGTACCAATCTCTGTCTTAAAAAATAAATACAGTAAAAAATGATAATGAATTTATTTTTTCTTATAATACTATCACTGGTGCATGATTAGAATAAATTAATCTTAAGATGATATAAGCATTTCTCCAAATGGTCTTCAAATTCATTGATTTTTTTGTGATTTCAATTTCCATATTTATTGTTCCTGTTGCAATTTTTTCAGATTTTATAAGTATATGTATTAACTCAGAACACATACCTCTTATCACACATATTTTTTCATGTAATTTATCTAAATCTCATAGAAAAGGGTCCATTTGCATTTTCTCTTATTAGACTCCTGATTTCAAATAATATATTACTTATGAGTATTTTTCTGTGCTGTAGTTATTCATTCTTATAGATATGTAACATAATTCCTTTTTCAAAGGTAAAATTTGAGCTATCTTTTGTGAGGATTTGTTGATCTCTGTCTAAAGTTTCAAAACTTTAAAAGCAAAATGTAAATTCCTTTCAAGTTTTAGTAAAATTACTTCAAACTTAGTAGCTTAAACAATACAGATTTATTATGTTACAGTTCTGTAAGACAGAAATCTGACTTGATCACACCATGGTAAAACCAAGATACTGCCAGGGTTGGGTTTTTCTTTGGGGGGTCTGTGGGAAGAGTTTGTTTCCTTTGGTTTTCCACAGCCCAGAGGCTATTTGCATTCCTTTAATCACTGTCCCTTCCTCCATTTCTAAAATGAGGAATGGAGTCAGGGTGACTATGGTTAGCAATATTGTATTGTATATTTCAAAATAGCTAGAAGAGAGGATTTTTGAATTCTCTCACCGTAAAGATATCAAAAATGTATGAAGTGAAGAATATGTTGAATATCCTGATTCAATATTTAAACTATACATACACGTGTTGAAACATCACACTGTATGCCATAAATATGTACAATAATTATGTGTCATAAAACAAGATTTAAATTGTTTTAAAGGGCCAGCAATGGCAGTTTGTGAGTTCCCATCTCATCACTCTAACTTCTTCTGCCTCCTTCTTCCACTTGTAAATGTCCTTCTGATTATTTTGGTCACATCAGGATAATCCAGAATAACTTTCCTATCTTAATATCAACTGATGAACAACCTTAGTTTAGTCTACAATTTCAGTTTTCCTTTGCCATGCAACTAACATATTCACAAATTCTGAGGACTAGAATGTGGACACCCGTTGTATTAGTTTGTCCTCACACTGCTAATAAAGACACAGCTGAGACTGGGTAATTTATAAAAGAAAGAGGTTTAACTGACTTATAGTTCCACATGGATGGGGAGCCCTCAAAATCATGGTGGAAAGCGAATGAGAAGCAATGTCGCATCCCACGTGGTGGCAGGCAAGAGAGCTTGTGCAGGGGAACTCCCGTTTATAAACCCAGCAGATCTCATGAAACTTATTCACTACCACAAGAACAGCATGGGATAAACCGTCCCCATGATTAAATCATCTCTACCTGACCCCATTCTTCACATGGAATTATTACAATTCAAGGTGAGATTTGGGTGGGGATACAGCCAAATCACATCATTCGTGGAGAGCCGTGATTCTGCCTACCACAAGTAGGATGTACAAAGCATGGAAGGAGCTACAGCCAGAAACAATTGTACCATTGGGAATTTCTAGCAGAATAAATAGCAGTTATTAACTGATAAGTTAATAGATTAAGTAAACCTAAATAATTGCCTTCATTAGCAGCGAGGCTTTTGATGGTCCATGTATCACAGATAAACACAAATACATCTTTCTCATTTATTCCAATAACAAAAGTGTTTTTTGGTTTGTTTTGTTTTGTTTTTGAAAGTTTGGTATGAGAGAGAAAGAGATGAGCCGATTTGACCACTCCAGGCTAGAGTATATGTAGCTGAGAGTCTATGGCTGAGTGGAGGAAAAAAAAAAAAAATCACAAGCCCTGTCCAGGTTAACAGAGAGAGAAAGCTGTTTCTGTTGAGATTTGATGGCCCCCATCATACCAAATTTGGGCTTCTAGCTAGCCTCAGTTATTCAGATAACTGACCTTCCTTCCTTCCTCCCTCTTGTAATAGTCTTTGTGTATTAGAAGTACCTTGAAATACTGGGTCAGAAAATGTGGCACAAAAGAGAAAAGCTTGCTCACTCCACATCTTGACCTGATCATTTCCTGAACATGATTGAGGTAGATGACTCTTTGCTCCTCTTTGGCTGACCTGCAGGAATAACACTGGGAATAAGCAAATCTCCTTTGGACTCCAGAGGGTGGTGGTCAGGAAGTGGGCCATTGAGAACCTAGGTGGAAACGCAGGCCAGATTATTGGAGTAGTTTGCTTTATAATGTTAAAATATTTATACATATGTTATGTGGGCCCTATTTCCACTCTTATCTTAGAGCCCACACATATTATGGAGGGTCTAGCAGTGTTTCTGGAGTTTTTGGTACTATACCTTTTTCAAGATAAAGTAAAAAAATTTATGGATAATTTAGTTGTTCCCTGTGTAGATTCCAGTGCCAAATTCCTTTCTTAGACACTGTTTCTAGTACAACATGTTAATATGTGACCCCTGCTTCACTTACGGATTTTTAGAGATCTATCCCAGGTTACTTAATTCAACTCCAATACATACTTTTCTTTTAAATGCAGTGAATAAAGGGTGAGTTACTTAGTCACTCCGGTTTTATTTAATCCTACTGTCATCTGACAATATGGTACTGATACGATTTCCTATTTCTAGATGGTTGCTAGAAATATACTGTAATATTTATTCTTGATATATGTTTGTTACTTTAACGGGAATACATAGGCTATAAATAGTCCCCTTGGCTCTCACAAGTTAGACAGTCCTACCCAGAATGCCCTGCTGAAGAGTTGTAGCAGATCACCCTGTTCCTCCTTAACCTCTCTGTGTCTCATATGCTCACCTGTAAAATAGTAATCATAGTAACACCTAACTTGTGATGATGTAGAGAGGATTAAAGAAGCGAATTAGGGGAGGCCAGGCATGGTGACTTATGCCTGTAATTCCAGCACTTTGGGAGGCGAATCACTTGAAGTCAGGAGTTCGAGACCAGCCAGGCCAACATGGTGAAACCCACTTCTACTAAAACAAACAAACAAACAAACAAAAAACACAAAAATTAACGGGGCATTGTGGCAGTTGCTTCTAATCCCAGCTACTTGGTTGGCTGAGGCAGGAGAATCCGTTGGACCCAGGAGGCAGAGGTTGCAGTGAGCCAAGATCACACCACTGCACTGCAGCCTGGGTAACAGAGCAAGGTTTTGTCTCAAAAAAAAAAAAAAAAAAAAAAAAAAAAGCCAATTAGGGTGGAAACACTTAGAAAAGGGTGTTCATAGGTTGTCACCATCTTGAAGCAATTGTTGGACACTATTTTAAAAATGTTTTACTTCTAAGTGAAATGTTGCATTTTATTTTACTAGAAGATTCTTATGTAGTTTAAGTACATTTTACAGTATTGTCAAAGAGCATGAGCAAAATATTTAGGAAAGATGAGACCATATTTCTATTATTAGTGACATTGCCACAAAAAAATCAGGTAGATGAATTTGTATTAAGTTTTTGTACCAATTTCATATCTAAAATTTCAAAGAATTTTATTGCAACAAACTCTTTCTTATCATTAACTCAAAAAAATTCTGTTTTAAATTGACTTCATTCCATAAGTCTCTACACTACTAATTTGGCCAGAAGTTATTTTCAATTCTAATTGGGAACAACAAAGATCCACATGATATCCTTTCAATTTATGATGTTGAAGAAAGTTGAACTGTAATAATTTGAGTGTACAGTCAAAGCAATTTTCAATACTATGTATCACTGTAGAAACAAGGGAGAATGTCTTGGTTAACTATTTAAGTGGCTTGAGTATGGCAATTAAAATTTCATCTAAGCTCATTTTGATGAATCTTGTAAGGTGACATTTATTTCTTATGCTCTGAACATCATAAGTTCTGTTGATTTTTATGGGAAGTTTTCAAGGTCATTTTCAGAGATCTATGACAAAATGACATTATTTGAGAAAAAAAAGAAGAAATAACTCGAAGTTTAAAGCATTATGGTATTCCCTAAGTCCAAAATTTTCTCCCTTTACAAAAACAAATGAAATGCAAAATAGACAAACAAACAAACCATCAAAAATACCTTGAATGGTGGGAATGAAAATTAGTTCGACCATTGTGGAAGACAGTGTGGAGATTCCTTATGGATCTAGAATCAGAAATCCCATGACCCAGTAGTCACATTACTTGGTATATACCCAAAGGAATATAAATCATTCTATTATGAAGACACATGCACACATATGTTTATTGCAGCACTATTTATTATAGCAAAGACGTGGAACCAACCCAAATGCCCATCAGTGATAGACTAGATAAAGAAAATGTGGTATATATACACCATGGAATACTATGCAGCCATATAAAGAACTAGATCATATCCTTTGTAGGAACATGGAAACCACCATCCTCATCAAACTAACACAGGAACAGAAAACCTAACACCGCATGTTCTCACTCATAAGTGAGAGTTGAACAACGAGAACACATTGACACAGGGAGGGGAACAACACACAGTGGGGCCTCTTGGGGCATGGAGGGAAAGGGGAGGGAGAGCATTAGGACTGATACCTAATGCATGCGGCTTAAAACCTGGATGATGGTTTGATAGGTGGCACATGTATACCTATGTAACAAACCTGCAAATTCTGCATATGTATCCCAGAAATTAAAGTAAAATAAAATAATAAAAACAACAACAAAATGTACCTTGAATCTCCAAAATAAGTTAAGACAAATGGTTAAAATTGAGCATGCTTTTATTAGAAGAAAATGTCATTGAAAATATAATAGATAATTTATAGATGGGAACATACGTAAAAACGTATAAGTACTTAGATCTGCTAGATCAAGTGAGTCCCAAATGATAAGGTTACAAAAATAATTTTTTTTGTAGAATATGTGTTTTCAATGAGAAAATGTTGCAAAAGTCAATCATACAGATTGGTAACTTTTATGTTTATTTTTCAAAAGCAGCTCAAAATAGTTCTTTAGATTCTGTAACACCGCAGTGTCCTAATTTAGCTCCTAAAATTTTGTAACAAAATTTTAAATTCACTTGCAAATTGATCTTCATTTAATCTTCCTCTAGGTGTGTAAGCTAAATCAGAGATCTGCATGAACTGCCTATTACTCTTTCATGCTATACATTCTCCCTAGGTAATTTTGATCACTGCCATCTTTTCCATCATCATTTCTACTTGAAGACTAACTAATATAGGTAAAACAAATTTCAACTTCTAGACCTATATGCTTTCCAGATATCTCAAATAAAAGATAAAATTTGGGGAGATATACCATGTTCATGATTTTGAAATAGTCAAGACTGTGTGATATTGTCCTCAAGAAAGACTAAATAGATCAACAGAACAGAATAGAAAATACAAAAACAGATTTACACATATAGTTAATTTTTTTTTAAGTAGCAAGTCAATTCATTAGGGAAAGTATGAGCTTTGAAGAAATGGAATAGTTTTCAAAGCAAGAAATGTAAAACAGTTGGGTATTTATAAGCAATAGAAAAACAAATTTGATTCATAGCTTGCAAAATATATAAACATTAATAAAAAGCCAACCTGAATGTATTGAAATCCTAGATATAAACATAAGATAAATCTTTGTGACCTTAGTTGAAACAAATAAGTGCTGTATATGACATTAAACATTTAATTTGTAAAATAAAATGTTAACTTGAACTTCTTCAAAAGTGAAAATTTTTACTCTTTTTTAAAAATTATTATATTTTAAGTTCTGGGAAACATGTGCAGAATGTGTAGGTTTGTTACATAGGTATACACATGCCATGGTGGTTTGCTGCACCCTTCAACCCATCATCTACTTTAGGTATTTCTCCTAATGCTATCCCTCCCCAAGCCCCCCACCCCCTGACAGGCCCCAGTGTGTGATGTTCCCCTCCCTGTGTCCATGTGTTCTCATTGTTCAGCTCCCAATTATGAGTGAGAACATGTGGTGTTTGGTTTTCTGTTCCTGTGTTAGTTTGCTGAGAATGATGGTTTCCAGCTTTATCCATGTCCCTGCAAAGGACATGAACTCATCCTTTTTTATGGCTGCATAGTGTTCCATGGTGTATATGTGCCACATTTTCTTTATCCAGTCTATGACTGATGGGCATTTGTGTTGGTTCCAAGTCTTTGCTATTGTGAACAGTGCTGCAATAAGCCTACGCGTGCATGTGTCTTTATAGTAGAATAATTCATAATCCTTTTTCTATTTAGTAATGGGATTGCTGGGTCAAACGGTATTTCTAGTTCTAGATCCTTGAAGAATCACCACACTGTCTTCCACAATGGTTGAACTAATTTACACTTTCATCAACAGTGTAAAAGTGTTCCTATTTCTCCATATCCTCTCCAGCATCTGTTGTTTTCTGACTTTTTAATGATCACCATTCTAACTGGAGTGAGATGGTATCTCATTGTGGTTTTGATTTGAATTTCCCTAATGACGAATGATGATCTTTTTTTCACATGTTTTTTGGCCGCATAAATGTCTTCTTCTGAGGAGTGTCTGTTCATATCCTTTGACCACTTTTCGATGGGGTCGTTTGTATTTTTTCTTGCAAATTTGTTTAAGTTATTTGTAGATTCTGGATATTAGCCCTTTTGTCAGATGGATAGATTGCAAAAATTTTCTCCCATTCTGTAGGTTGCCTGTTCACTCTGATGATAGTTTATTTTGCTGTGCAGAAGCTCTTTAGTTTAATTAGATCCCATTCATCAATTTTGGCTTTTGTTGCCAATGCATTTGGTGTTGTAGTCATGAAGTTTTTGTCCATGCCTATGTCCTGAATGGTATTGCCTAGGTTTTCTGCTAAGGTTTTTATAGTTTTAGGTCTTATGTTTAAGTCTTTAATCCATCTTGAGTGAATTTTTGTGTAAGATGTAAGGAAGGGGTCCAGTTTCAGTTTTCCACTGGCCAGTTCTCCCAATACCATTTATTAAATAGGGAATCCTTTCCCCATTGCTTGTTTTTGTCAAGTTTGTCAAAGATCAGATGGCTGTAGATGTGTGGCATTATTTCTTAGGCCTCTGTTCTGTTCTGTTGGTCTACATATCTGTTTTGGTACCAGTACCATGCTGTTTTGGTTACTGTAGCCTTGCAGTATATTTTGAAGTCAGGTCGCATGATACCTCCAGCTTTGTTCTTTTTGCTTAGGATTGTCTTGGCTATACAACCTCTTTTTTGGTTTCATATGAAATTTAAAGTAGGTTTTTCTAATTCTGTGAAGAAAGTCAATGGTAGCTTGATGGGGATAGCATTGAATTTATAAATTACTTCAGCAGTATGGACATTTTCATATTGATTCTTCCTATCCATGAGCATGGAATAGTTTGCCATTTGTTTGTGTCCTCTCCTATTTCCTTGATCAGTGGTTTGTAGTTCTCCTTGAGGAGATCCTTCACATCCCTTGTAAGTTGTTTTCCTAGGTATTTTATTCTCTTTGTAGCAATTGTGAATGGGAGTTCACTTATGATTTGGCTCTCTGTTTGTCTGTTATTGTTGTATAGGAATGCTTGTTATTTTTGCATATTGATTTTGAATCCTGAGATTTTGCTGAAGTTGCTTATCAGCTTAAGGAGATTTTGGGCTGAGACGATGGGGTTTTCTAAATATACAATCTTGTCATCTGCAAACAGAGACAATTTGACTTCCTCTCTTCCTGTTTGAATACCCTTTATTGCTTTCTCTTGCCTGATTGCCTTGGCCAGAACTTTCAATACTATGCTTAATAGGAATGGAAAATGGCATTTAAAAATATTTTTTTAAAAAGCTATGAACTGAGAAAACATTTGAATAGCATATATCTTATTGGCCAAGAAAGGTTTATCTCATCAGGACTAATGTTTATCTTTAGAACTGGCACTTGGCTGGCTTTTGGAAGATAACCTGTGGGCCCTTAATATATTCTACCTGATGACAGTGTTTCCATACATCTTTGGCTTTAGAGTACAGTGCACAAGTGGTTTTCAGCGTCTGAGGCCTTGGACCATGCTGTGCTCATTTGAACAGATAAGTTTATCCTAACAATATAATTTAGAGTGAATGGCTATATTTGCTCTGACAGATGCTGTAGTCTGAGTAGCTGAAATCACTCATATAGGCACCACCTTACATGACTGATGCCCAGTAAAAGCCCTGGAGACCAAAACTTAAATGAGCTTCTCTGATTGACAACACTTCAATATGCTGTCAAATATTGTTGCTGGGAGAATTACGTGTGTTCTTGTGGGATTCCGCTGGGAGAGGACACCTGAAAGCTTGTACCTGATATCTACATTTCTCCCCATGGGCTTTTTTTCTTTGTTGATTTTAATCTGTATCTTTTCATTGTAGTAAACTGTAACTATGAATGTAACATGTTTTCTAAGACCTGTGAATCATTGTAGTTAATCTTTGAGCCTAAGGGTGGTCATAAGGAGCCCCAACACACTAATAAATTACTTTCATAAAGAATATATAAAAGCTGTCAAAAATCAAAAATAAAACAAATCACCCAATTTTTAAAAGGCAAAAGATTGAAAAAGACACCATGAAAGAAGACATGGATGACAAATAAGTATATCAAAAGATTTTAACATCTGTAGTCATTAAAGAATTGAAAACCACAAAGAAATACTATTGATAGTTATTACAATGTCCAAAGTGAAAAAAAAGTATTGACCCTACCAGGTATAGGCAACAAAATGGAGGAACTGAAACTTTAATATACTTTTGATTGACAACCACTTTGTAAAATAGATTGACAGCTTCTTAAAAAAGTAAACCTACACTTACCACTTAATCTAGTCATTTATCTTCTAGATATTTCCCCCTCGAAAAATGAAAAAGAAATTGTTGTATATAAATGTTCATAGGCATTTTCTCTTTAATAGCTAAAACGTGGTCATGACCCAAATATTCATTAACAAGTAATTGGTGATATATACATACAGCAAAATTCTGCTCAGCAATAAAAATGTTCGACTACTGACACATGCAACAACATGAATGAATTTCAAAAGAATTTTGCTGTAAAGCAAAAATGCCAGCCAAAAAATAGTGCACCTTATATGATTCCATTTATATAAAACTTCTGAATGCACCAATATACAATATACAGTAACATACAATACTGAAAGATGGTCAGCAGTTGTCTAGCTAATATGCTTATTAGGAGAGACAATAATTGCAAGAGGGGATTATTAAAAGTAGTCATGAGGAAACATTCTGTGGATTTATATGTTCACTATCTTGACAATAATGGTGATCTCATGTATGTATAACTATGTCAGAGCATATCTAATAATTTATCTTATATATTTTTGGCTTTTAATATATTAATTATAGCTCAATAAATTTCTTAAAAACTCATTGGACTCTATCTGTAATGTGTGTATGTTTAGTTTTAAGTAAAGTGCAGCTAAATTTTTCTCCACCATTACAATTTTCAAACATACTTTCACTTACAGAACAGCATACTGAAAATTAACACATGCTTTTATAATTATAAATAAAATAGTAATATATCATTTCTGCTGAAATAAATGCAAACCAATTACAAGGAATTTATTTGTTTTGATTTTAGTTACTTCATATGTATTAGCATCTAAGCCTCAAAGATTCACTATGTAATTGTGTAAATTAGTAGTAGGGTTACCTGAATCTGGCTTAATAATCAATTAATCAGTATTTATCTTTAAACATTTTTTCCTTTATGAATTGCGTCACACTTTTAAAGAGCCCTTCCTACAAGCATATATAAAATATATTCTTATACTATTTTAGAATAATTTCAGAAGTTAGATTGTTTTCTAGTTTTTAGTGTTTTCATTGATACCAAATTTATTTTTATGTACATAAATGTATGATTTTAAGTCAGATTATTTCAAACTGGTATCCCTGCAATTATCTGAACAGAATTTTTAAGTAGTCACATTGACTTTTTTTTTTTTAAAGTTAGTTTTAAGCTATTTGATAACATATGGATCTACTTCACTAAAGTTATATTTTTGTGTGTAATTCTTTAATCCATCTGGAGATATTTTGGTTGTTTTTCAATCAGATAGCCAGTTAAACCAGAAAGAAAAATCTTACCAAAAAGTTTCCACTTAGAAAATTTAATAGCCAAAAAAACTAATATATGCAAGAATGAGCAAAAACATATTGATAAAAGATACATCATATTTTTATTGAAATATTTCATAATGAAATGTTTCACATGGTTAAAGAACTACAAATTCATTCAATGTAAATAAAAACTTCATGGGAAATGTATAATATATGAGGGATTATTTGATATCTGAAAAAATTAGATAGAAAATAAAGCTTAAAAACTTCTAGAAGGTAATCCAGTAGAATATTTATCAGCTTAGGCTAACAAATGATATAAACATGATTAAAGAACAGCTAAACTTAAATAAAAATATTAAGTTGGTGACAAAGTGTAAAACACCATTCTTGAAAATATGCAATTACAAATAGGAAAGTGCTAATAGGAGAAAAAATAAGATGTTTATAATGCAAAAAGTATTAACATTCAAAACTGTTGATAATATAAAGAAAGATACTAAAAGGAAAAGTATTCCAGTAGTAGAGTAGCCTAAATATAAGGCAATTTGAAGAAAGAAAAGAGGAATCATGAATAGGTTTATCAATCCTGATTCCATCTCACCAGTGATTAGACTGGCAAATAAGAAAATGTGTGATAATACCAAGGGTAATAAAGATATATTTCATTTACATTTACAGTGCTGGTAAACATACACTGTACAACCACTTTGGAGAAAACTTGGAAGTACCTAAAATGTGAAAACGTACAGTTGCTCTTGATCCAGCAAGGGTACCTCTGAGTATATATTGTGGAAAAATTCTCACACATGCATACACAGTGAAACATGTAAGAGTGCTTATAGCAGCATTGTTGGGATTTTTTTTAAACCCTAGATTTGACCTATATATCTATCAGTAGAGAATCAAAATATAATTCAAGCTATTGTTATACAGTGGGATATAGTACATCACTGATAATTAATGCAAATTAATATTATGAACCACTCAAGTTTGAATCAAATATTAGGTAATGGTATAATGAAATTATAAAACTATTTAGAGTTAAAAACAGGCAAAAATATCACATTTATTTTAGAATTCATAATTGAACAGTAGAAGAAAGTAAAAATGCATAGGAATCATAAACATGAAACACAGGAAAAATAAATGAAACATAGGCAGGTGATTGCCTGCAGAGCAAGAAGGCAGAGTTTATTAAGGAGGGCAGTATGAGAACTATTTAAGATATTTTAGGATAAGAAGCGGTTTTGTGAACTTGAATTCATTAAATAACACTTTCTATTTTGTTTTGTTAGTTATCATTTAACATTTTTTAAAAAATATAAAGAATTCTCATAAGTATTTTTAAACTAGAAGACAAGTGGAATGAAACATCTAAATGTCAAATTCTGGTGTGTACTTCCTATTAATTTCTAAACAGGGACACCTGGCAAGCAGAAATAACTCTGAGGACATGTGGGATTTTGAATTTTTGGACACCTCTGTAAAGTTATTTGGCAAGCAATAATAATAGCTACCACTTATTTATCAAGTGTTTACTAATGTACTAAGCATTGCCATATATGGTTTATTACTTCTATCCCATTTAGTATTCAAATCAACATGATGTCTATTTTTGCTCTGTTTTAAAAATAAAGAAGCTAACATGTCCAAGCCACATATTTAGTAAGTATTGGAACTACATCAAAACAAGATAGAAACATTTCAATGGTTTATCCTACTGTCTACTTCCTAGAGGAAAATTATAAATTTACAATAACTGATCCAAATACATTTCCAGAGTTATTTTAGCTTTCACAGTGTTGGCCAGCACAATGTGTTTTTTGTTTGTTTGTTTGTTTGTTTGCTTGCTTCCTTGGTTTTTAATTGAGAACATTCCCATAGTTGACTATTTCAATATTTAATTCTCCAATCTTGTATTTTTGGTTTATCTTGATAAACATCAAATAAGGTGGAGGCAGTTTACACTGAATAGACTTAAGAAGCGGACCTTTACAAGCAAAGTTCAGATGCTTCATTTTACCACAATTTCTCCACTGCTCAGTTTTATTAGACCTAGTCCATATCACGCATTTGGGTTACTTGCCTGGCTCATCTACGACAGAAAATAAGGAAAGGAGAAAGGAAGCAAAAGAGAATAAAGAACCTAAATAAGTGCTATTCATCTACTCAGAGCTGTTTCAAAAAATTAAGTAAATGTTTTCTTCAGTATTCTCAGTCAAATCTTGCTTCATAATTATAAATACCCTGAAGGAGTCATACCAATGTGTTCTCTGTAAATGCCATGAACAATACTTTCTTTTTGTATAAGGTCTTTCATGACTATTGTATTAATAGCACATTTAATAATATTTCAATAGGTCAAAATTATGTCATATATTTTCTTACAAATTTTTGTCATTTTTTAGAATTAATACTACAGCCCAGAAAATAAATATTATTATGAAAGCTTGTTTGTAAAAAATTTCGGTAATTTTATATCTTTTTGGTAAGATTAGTGGCTTCTATTGTATATATTTACAATGGATATCAATATTGATATTGAGTTATCCAATCTAATATTCTTAATAGCTCTGGCTTGAACTATGAATGGTAGATGACTATGTTCTGTATGTATACCAATATGAGTATTTTTTTATGTTAAAGATTTTACTAGAATCCTTAAATAAACCATAATCATCTAATATGATTTTCTGCTGGAATTTATATAATTTATTATCATAAAATATATTGAATTGCTCAGATAAAAATTTTAACTTCTATAAATCTTAATATATAAAAATATAGTCTTCTTCAACAAATTGACATTCCAAATTGGTTTAGAATATCCTTAAATAATTATAGTTTTATTTTCACATAAGCTAATTTTGCAAATTGTTATCTTTTTTTAACTTAACTTTTGTGTTTTGTTTTTTATTTGTTTTTATGTCTTCCCCAAATGTCCTCTTTTTTATGCAAATGTAGAGAAGGCAGACACCTAGAATTCCATCCTAGAATTAAGACGTGACAATAAACTTTGATTTTGTAAATGCATTGTATGCTGACCTAATAGAAGATGAAAAGTGGAAAAATTTGCACAGTGAGTTCAAGAACTCTGAGGAAAAGTATTCAAACAGTCTAGTTAAGAAAACCCTATTTTAAGTGGAAATTTCATACCAAACAAGGCTGCACAGCTTGGAAAAGCTCTGCACTTAAATTAACTTCAGCCGGTGATGTGCTGAGGCTCTTGACTCAAGTACAGGCACACGGGCTGGCTATGATTTGGAGAAACATGGTAAGTCATATGAATGTTAGTTGATAACTAATTTTATTGTTCATGTGCGGAGGACATAGGGTCAAATCTGCCCCAAGAAGACCTCGAGAAAATGTATGTGGGTCTGGATACAGACCTGATGTGACAAAAGAAGCAATAACGGGGAAAGACTGATTCTCTCTGCTTATCATTTAGAACAATCAAAATAACTTTGAAATGAAAAAAACTCTAGGGGTTTTGAAATTATTAAACTGGCATGTACATATTAAAAGGGAGCCAATAAGGAATTTACTACTAATAGGGCATGGGGGAAAGCAGACCCAAAGTTCTAATTAATGTTTTAAAATGATAGTATCCATTTGCCGGTTTTAAGATGAGTCCATACTGCTAAAAATTGCTCTATGTTTCTTATCAAATTTATCTATATCAGCATTTATTTTACTTCTAAATTTAATTACAATTTTTAAATTCCATTATACAAGTTATCTCACATTTAACTATTTGTTACCTTTTTTTCTCATCTTACAATATTACTTCTCTACCTGTCAAACTATATACAGTCCAGTTCTTATTCCAATTATGGCTATAATTGTTGTACAATTAATCAATTAACAAAGTATAGCAAAAAATCAAAAGAACTTTAAAAAATTATGTATAATTGTGATCAATATGATGTTTTTAAGTATGTTCAACTATTTATACTATTTTCCTTCTCAAAGAATCATCAGAATGCTGAACACATAAAATAAACATTGAATAAATTAAAAATAATTTTTCATTTTAAACAATCTAAAGTAATTTAAGTATAGTTCCTATTTAGACTTAACCATAACACTTTGAAAAACTTGAAAGAATTCACTGATTTTTTATAAAATTTAAAATTAATACATATTACACAATTTGTAATATGTATTTTTACTTTGAACATGAGGGCATTTTAAATTGAGCTTCTTTGAAATATAATTCACATATAAAAATTTCAGAAAATTTTAAGGACCTTTTTCATTTCTTTTTACTTACGCTTTGATTAGGATTTCAGTCTGCATACGAATTTGTCATGATTTTAGCTGATACTCATTCAGAAAACGATTTTAATAGATCATTACCTTTCCTTATCTCTCAATGTCATTAGATATATATGTTTTAATCTTAATTTCTAGGACAAATATACATATCTTTTTCTGATTATGTGCCTCTAAGTTTGATAAAAAGTTCTTGATGCAACCAGTGGACTCAACACTTCTCCTTACTTTGCATTTATAATACTAGGCTTACAGCAGTTTTTTTCTCCAAATTAAAGTATAAATATTTAATTTTTACTTTTAATTTTTAAACGTTACTCAATATTATGTTTATAAAATGACTTCTGGAAAAACATGTATATTTTCTATCATTTATTATGTCATAATTGAGAGAAGCAAGAACCCAAATTCATTTAATTATAACACATAAAACTGAATAAATATAGATGACAGATATGTGTTCTTTGTTTTTACATATCTGTTGTAAACCATATTACTCAGATTATCTCACTTCTTTCAAGTTTTCTAATAAAAGCAATTACCATACCTATGTGGAATATATTTTAATAGTAGTTCATTTTAATAAAAGTTATATATTTTTAGGAGGTCAAAATAGCAATTTCAATTTATGAAATGTTGACTTTTTAATCTTATTGACATATTTTCTGGAGGCACATTGTAGAACTATTTGAATAGCAACAGAAATTTCCAGTGGAGAGAAAGTCAGATACGAAACTTCCGTGAGAAAACTGTATTTATCAGTGACTGAAAATCCTTGGATTAGGACCAAACTCCCACCTACTTGTTCTTGTAGATACTCTGTCTAAATACAGATATAGATAGATACAGATACAGATATAGACATAGACATAGATACAAGTACAGTTACATAGAAAAATGAAATAATATTGTAAGATATCCTGAAATATATATAATATGTTAGTTTCTAACATTGTTTTAAAAGTTAGTTGTTTAACCAATCAAAGCAGAAACAACTTAAACAGACTTTACAAAAATTCATCAGATTTAATAAAGTTGTCTATTCGAAGATAGGGCTTTTTTCTTTTTTAAAAATTAAATGAGAAAGCAACTATTGGCAAATTCAAATTCCTTTCTTATCAAAATACGTATTTTGAATTTTTATTGTTTAAAACAATACAGAATTTGAATTAATAGCTATCTTAGTAAGGAAATGTCTTTCCTCAAGACTACAATGTGCTATCTTGCATACAAAATTACCAAATAAACACAGTGGCTGCTGATAAATTTTTACCTAATTATTCAATATGTTTCCCTTGAAAGAGGAATGATTAAATGAATTAAACAACAGTTAAACAATTAGATTCAGTATGAATATTATGTGCATACTGTACAACTTTTGTATTTTCAAGGTCAATCATTGCATAGAAAGAAATTTATTTTTTTAAGAAGTTAAAAATATAGTACTTAATCTTGAATAAATTTGTTAATAACTAGGGCACATTAAAATATGACTCAAAGGTAGTAAAATTACATTTTAACATTTATACAAGAGGTTGTCTAGAATATCACAAAAGAAAAATAACCTAAAAATAAAAACTTTCCAAAAACAAAGACTCAAAAGCAGCCCAAAACTGTTACAATAAAAATAATGCCACAATATTTGTTTCTATTTTAATTGAAAAAAGCAAAAGCAGATTTAGTTATTACTCTAAATAGATACTTTATTGTTGATTTCTCTAGATTTAACAGATTCAATAGTTTGAACTTAAAACCGTATTTCTCAATTTTACTCTAATTTTTTAACCTCAAACTTAAAACACATCATTTCCCTCTTTATTTTCCCACCAACCACACACACTAGCCATGTCATTCTATTTGTATTTACCTCATTCTTTTTCACATACTCTTTGTGTGTGATTCTGGTTTACCATTTTTTAGAATATCTTTTCTCAATTTTTCACCTATATTAAATATTGTTTTAATATATAGTGTATTAATAGAAAAGCTAAGGTATAGTAAGGTAAGATCAGAAGACAATTGCCATTGAAAAGATACTCACAGTTTCCAAGAGAAGGGAGCATGTCACGCCAGGGGAGACTACAGGGAAGAACTCAGGTCCATCAGGAAACAGAGAGAGGGAGGAATTCAGGAGCAAGACCCTAGACTGTGGTGTTTGCAGGAAGAAACCAAGCAGGGTAAACAAGCTTAGGACTGGCTCGTTTGAATAATTTCAGTGGGCTCTGGGGCATAAGAGTTGTCCCTGGTTGTCTGGTTTTTGGCCCTAGCGTGATTAGGACAGAAGCACAGTGGCCTGGAGTGTGAGAGCCCTATAGAGTATGTGTTTGGGAATTGGTTAGTTTGTATTTGTAAAGCCCATTTTCATGAGGAGTTCAGGGGAGACTTCGTAGCCAGAAGTTGAGGCAAGGTGACTCCAGCATACTATCCATCTTCAAGAACAAGATGTGTCTGAATTGTTGTATGTTATAAAGTTTCGATGTCTAATAGGGCAAATCTTTCATCCTGTTGGTCCTCTTTGATTTAATTTGCTGTTTTTCTCTCTCTCTCTAAGTACTGTTCTCGGAATAATCCAATCTGATATGTGTGTCACTATTCCAAGGAATGAGTAGATCACACTTTATTTTTCTGCTTCTTATGAACATTAATTTGTTCAGTTTTCTGAAATTTTCAATGCTATTGTGATTTTTTTAAATTAACATTGCTACTATGCTTATTGTGTACTTGTTGCCAGAAATGCAAGAGCTAAGATGTCTCTGGAAATGGAATTCCTGGGTCACAGGCTTGGCACATGATCAACATTATTAGATAATGTTAAATTGTTGTACAATGTAATCACATTAATTTGTATGCCAATAGTAGTATATAAAAGTTTGAATTGCCCTACATCCAAACTCACACAAAAATAAATGCAGTCTAAAAATTTATAATGTGATGTATACGAAATTATATTTTGGGCTGGGTGCAGTGGTTCGTGCCTGTAATCCCAGCACTTTGGGAGGCCAAGGTGGGCAGATCAACGGAGGCCAGGAGTTCAAGACCAGCCTGGCCAACATGGGGAAACCCCATCTCTACTAAAAATACAAAAATTAGCTGAGTGTGGTGGTGCATGCCTGTAATCCCAGCTACTTGAGAGGCTGAGGCAGGAGAATAGCTTGAATCCAGGAGGTGGATGTTGCAATGAGCTGAGATTGTGCCACTGCACGCCAGCCTGAGTGACAGAGTGAGACTCCCTCTCAAAAAAAAAAAAAAAAGAAATTATATTTTGTTGTTTTATAGTTTTAATTTGAATTAATAATAAGCTTTGGTACCATTTCATGTATTTTAACTTTTTTATTATTTAAAAAGTCTGCTTATGTATTTTCGTATTTTAATTTTTATGTCTTTTTCTAAATCCTTAACAGAAATTAATTGTATCATGAATTTTAATAGATTGTTATGTACTTGCAAATGTTGCCATGCTGTTTATGATGATTTTTCATTTTACCAGTGGTGATTTAGAAGGAACAGATACTCTTGATATCTGTGGGATCAAATTTACAAATTGTCTTGCTCCAGTCAGTTTTTGTGCTGGTTTGAAAATTTTTTTCATACTCTGAGATTCAGGCTAAATTGCTTTTAAAATTTTAAAGCTTTGTGTTTCATATTTATATTCTTGATGAGATGTATAGAGTGAGAATGAGATACATTGTCTTTTTATTATAAACAACCTTGCTTTAGTAGCTACTAAAGTTTACTTTTGAAATTGTATTTCTTAAATATTTCTGTTATTATAGAAAATTGATTTTGTATTCTATCTTATATCCATTAACTTTTCTCATTTAGTAATTCTAATAATCCTAGGCATTCTTCACAGTGCATTGTAATAATGTATACATTTCATAGGATGACAATTTTTAGGTACACTTAATGGTAGGAGACTATAGATTATTCGGATTTTCTTTGGTTTAAAACTGGTAAACTTTTTTTAAGGGGAAAGTAACAATCACTTTCTACAATATGTGACTCTTCAAAGAGTAAATCAGAGACAAATCTTTTTTTTCAAATTTATTTTTTTGAAAATCAATAATAATGACCCTATTTTTTAGTTTGAATGGATTCTCATTAATTTAAAATGCAAATATTTTGGACTAAATGTTTGTGTCTCTCCCACCCCAAATTTAAATTTTGAAGCCCTAATCCCCAGTATTATGGTTTTGGAGATGTGGGCTTTTGGAGGTCAAAAGGTTGAGATGAAACCATGAGGATGGAGTCCTCACGATGGAATTAGTGAATTTATTATAAAAGACACAAAAGAGCACTTTCTTGTACACTTCCTTTGTCTCTGTCTCTCTGTGTGTTTCTCTATTTCTCTTCCCTGTGGGAACACAACAAAAGGTATCTGTGTGACAAGAATGAAGAATACCCTCAGCAGAAACTGACCATGTGTATGCTGATCGTGTACTTCTTAGCCTCCAAACTATGAGGAAAAAAATTTGTTGTATAAGACACCAAGTTTATTGCATTTTGTTATGGCAGCCTGAGCAGTCTAACAAGAAAGCAATAAAAAGTATAAGTAATTAAGATAAAACTAAATTTATCATCGAAATTCTCACCATCAAGAAATAACCATTTTCAAAATATGTAGAACAAGATTTCACATATTTTCCTAAGGTTTATTGACAAAGAGATAGTTGATAAAGATTTTATACAAATTGACTATTAAGAAACGATTGTATTTAATTATAATGAGATTAAAATAATTTTGAATAGAGAAACTGATTAACGTTTATGCATATTTGTTCCTAAAGTACATTCAAAGTTAAGAGAACAGATTATAAAATTGTAAGTTAGAGTTCTTATAGTATAGGTTTCTTACAAGAAGGGAAGAAAGCAAAATAAATTTAACACAACTAAAGCAGATCTTGCAGAATGTGATTTATATATGGACATGAGTCAGCTTCCTAAACTTGAATCTCAGTGTTATATAGATGAACCCACTCAGACAGAAACAACATTGAACTAGAACAGAACTCCTTTGACAGGCAATGCACATGTTTTTAGGAGAGCAGAGTGTAAGCTTTCTCTGAGCCTCAGAGAGGCAGAAGGTAAGAATGATTCTGGGTTATGCGTCCTCAAGTTTTTGTTTAAACTCTCTGAATAAGTACCTCATTCCATTTTTCTGGGGCAAAGTGAGTGGATGGGGAAAGCAGACCAAGGGCATTATGTGAATGGGTCACTTCAAAGGGAAAAACATATCTGAAACATGGTAGAAGCACCCCATAACTAACTACTTTTTCATGCCTTTGGCCTACTGGACTTAACCATTATAGCAATGATGACTCAAAAACTACACTAAAGCAGTGTTAAAAGGAAAATTGATGGTGCTAAATGCATTCATCAGGGGGACAAAAAGGTCTCAAGTTAATGACCTAACATAGCAACTAGGGGAATTAGAAAAAAAGCAACAGAAAAGACCCAACCCCAAAGCTAGTAGAAGAAAAAAAAAAACTGAAGTCAGAGAACTGAAAAAAAATTGATATCTCAAAGTCCACACAAAAGATGAAGCCAAGAGTTTTTTTTAATAAACAATACTGATAGATCATTAGCTAGATTAACAAAGAAAAAGAGATCCAAATAAGTATAATCAGAAATTATAAAGATTATATTAAAATTGATCCCATGAAAATACAAAATATATGCAGAGACTATTATGAGCACCTCTCTGCACACAAATCTAGAGGAAATGAATAAATTCCTGGAAACACACAATCTCCCAAGATTGAATCAGGAAGAAAGTGAAAACCTGAACGGACCAATAGGAAGTTTGGAAATGAAATTAGTAATAAAAACCTACGAAATAAAATAAAATAAAAGCCCTGTAACAGATGGATTCACAGCTGAGTTCTATCAGATGTGCAAAGGAGAAATGATACCAATCCTACTGAAATGTCTCCAAACAATCAAGGAGGAGGGGCTTCTACCTAACTCATACTACAAAGCCAGCATTACCCTGTTACCAAATCTGGCACAGACCACGGAAAAAGAAAAGAGAAAACTACAGATCAATATCTCTGATGAAAATACAAGCAAAAATTGTCAAACCAAATCCAGCAGCACATCAAAAAGTTCATTCACTATGACCAAGTAGGGTTTATTCCTGGGATATAAAGTTGATTCAACATATGCAAATTGATAAATGTGATTCACCACATAAACAGAATCAAAAACAAAAAACATAGGATCATCTCAATAGATACAGAACAAGCCAGCAATAAAATTCGACATTCCAGCCAGGCGCGGTGGCTCACGCCTGTAATCCCAGCACTTCAGGAGGCCGAGACAGGCGGATCATGAGGTCAGGAGATCGAGACCACGGTGAAACCCCGTCTCTACTAAAAATACAAAAAATTAGCCAGGCATGGTGGCGGGCGCCTGTAGTCCCAGCTACTCGGGAGGCTGAGGCAGGAGAATGGTGTGAACCCGGGAGGTGGAGCTTGCAGTGAGCCGAGATCTCGCCACTGCACTCCAGCCTGGGCAACAGAGTGAGACTCCGTCTCAAAAATAAATAAATAAATAAATAAAATTCAACATTCCTTTTATGATAAAAACCCTCAACAGATTAGGCGTTGAAGGAACATACCTCAAAATAATAAAACTATCTATGACAAACCCACAGTCGCCATCAAACTGAACAGCAAAAGCTGGAACCACACCTCTGGAGAACTGAGACAAGACACGGATGCCCACTTTTACCACTTCTATTCAGCATAGCACTGAAAGTCCTAGTGAGAGCAAACAGGCAAGAGAAAGAAACAAAAGGCATCCAAATAGGAAAAGAAATTAAACAATCTCTCTTTGCCAATGCTGTGATTCTACACATAGAAAATCCTAAAGTCTCCATCAGAAGGCCCTTTGAACTGATAAGTGAATTCAGTAAAGTTTCAAGAAATAAAAACATTGTAGGAAAATAAGTAGCATTTTTATGAACCGAAATCATTGCAGCTAATAACCAAACCAAGAACACAATCCAATTTACAGTACCCACAAAGAAAATGAAATACCTAGGAATTCATCCAACCAAGGAGGTCAAAGACCACTGCAAGGAGAAGTACAAGACACTGTTGAAAGAAATCAGAGATGACACATAAATGGAAAAATATCCATGCTCATGGATTGGAAGAATCAATATTGTTAAAAATGGATATACTGCCTAAAGCAATTTACAGATTCAATGCTATTCCTATCAAAATACCAATGCCATTTTTTAAATAATTAGAATGAAACCTATTATAAAATTCATCTGGAACCACAAAAGAGATTGAATAGCCAAAGCAATCCTAAGCAAAAAGAAAAGCCAGAGGTATCACATTGCCAGACTTCAAACTGTACTATAAGGCTACAGTGATCAAAACAGCGTGGTACTGATACAAAAACAGACACACAGACCAGTCAGTGGAATAGAATAGAAGACCCAGAACTAAATTTGCACACCTACAACTAGATGACCTTTGAAGAAGCTGACAAAAACAAGCAATGGGAAAAAAAATTCCCTATTCAATAAATTGTGCTGTGGTAACTGGCTAGCCATATACAGAAGATTGAAATTGGACCCCTACCTCTCAACATATATGAAAATTAACTCAAGATTAAAAATTTATGAGTAAGACCTAAAACTATAATAATACTAGAAGAAAATCTAATTCTTCTATAGATTAGACACTATTGTAGGTGTCCATCAATAGTGAATTGGGTAAAGAAAATATGGTATGTATACATCACAAAATGCAGTGCAGCCATAGAAAAGAACAAAGTCATATTCTTTGTGGCAACATGAATGGAGCAGGAGACCATTATCCTAAGTGACCTAATAGAAGAACAGAAAGCCACATACCACATCTTCTTACTTATAGATGGGAGCTAAACATTGAATATACATGTTAAGATGGGAACAATAGACATTGGGGACCACTAGACTGGGGAGGAAAGGTAGGGGTGGGCTGAAGAACTACCTGTTGGGTACTGTGTTTACTGCCCGGGTAGTAGGATCACTGGGACTCCAAGCCTCAGCATCACACAATTACTCATGTAACAGTCTTTCATTAACCTATAATAAAAGTTGAAATTAATTAAAAAAACCAAACAGCTACACTGTTTCATTGCTCTAGATTTCTTTTTGTCTCCATTTAATTATGGAGAGACGTGCAGAGACAGAAATGACTGTCACGTGTTCTTATACACATAAAGCCCTGGAAACAGGAGCCACAGCACATCATGCACTGGGGCCATATGGGGAAGTACCAGAGTCAGTGAAGGCAAAAGGAGCAAGACTAAAGCATGAGCCAGAGCCTTTAATATGGTTTTCCTTGGAAGGAATGAGTGAGACAGTGTAAGCAGCTGAGCAGGTTTAAGACTGGGTAGTGTGAGTGCTTTTTGTGTAATTTAGTCCCTAGTGTTCCAGCACCTGATTCTGAGGTGATGAAAGCAGAGGGATAATGTCCCAGACCACAGGAGCCATATAATAAGAGTCAAGTGAGGGTGTGGATTCTGGATTGGTTGGTTTGCATATAAATAACATGCTCATAGGCAAGTTGTTTAGTATTTCTAGAAATTAGCTAACCCTAGGAGGAGCACTCTGTCTTGAAACCCATATGGTCTCAAGATGTCAAAGCAAAACAAAAACAATAACCATGATTAATACAGCAAGATGGAATAAGCTATATATTGCCTTAAGGAAGAAGTTACTTGGCTCTCTATGGCTGATCCTCATAACCTGTAAGATTTGTTCTCTTGACTTGAGTTGGACAACTGGGGTTTTATTTCTGAAGCATTTTATAGGAACTACTCATTGTTCTTGTTTTTGTCATAGTAGTCATGATGCTGGCCAATTGCATTTAACTCAGTCTTAACTTCCTTTTTATAGCAGCCCTCTCACCAGAAGATTGCCCTTACTACAAAACTGCAAAAAGTTCAAGAACATCTCATAATATGGTTGACAATAGAGACAACTAAACAGTCTCTAAGTCGTGAAGATTTGAATCTCTAAACTTCCCTGAATTGGCTTAGTCAATGCCTCACAAGCTAGTTAATGACAAAATGGGAGGAGGGGTAGCCAGACCATGTATAAGAATAGAGCTCTGACCCACATCTTTGTAGCAACCAGCCTGGGAAGCCAAACCACAGCCTCTGCATCAACCAGCCCCAGATGAATAGGATTTAGTTAATGATTGCCAGGTTCCCTATTTTTGCCCCCGCTGCCAACTCAGGACCCATCAGAGAAAGTCAAGTATGCTTTCTGACTGATCACATAAGATGCTCCATTTCCCCTTATTTATTTAGTCCATCTTCAGCTTCCCCATACAACCTTAAAGCAGAGCACATCCAAAAGCTTTCCTTTTCCAAGTACAAAACTTTCCTATTCCTCAGCCTTTCTTTGAGTCTCTGCAAAACATATATGATGACAGCTGACTTTCTTGTTATAAAACGTCTGAATAAATATAGATTCTCTCTGTTATTATTAGGTGTTATTTATTTCCACAACCTACAAAAAATCTTCAGGCAGGGTACTATTTAAAGGTGCAATATTGAAAAATTCCACATAAAATCAGGAAAAAAGAAAGAATGTTCATCTCACTACTATTCTTCTACACATTACTGTAAGCACTAACCATTATAAAAGGAAAATAAAGGGCATAATGATTGAATAGGAAAAACAAAATTGTCTTTACTTGAAAATGAGATGATTATGGAAAAAAACTAAGGAATACATTTCAAAAGCTACTAGAACTAAATAATATATATATATATGAAATTTATAGCAAATAAGGTTAATATAGAAAAGTGCATGTTGAGTGTTCCTTATCCAGATATCTGAAATCTGAAATGCTCTAAAAGCTGAAACTTTTTGAGAGCTGACGTGATGCTCAAGGAAATGTTCACTTAAGCATTACAGATTTTGGATTTCTGGATTAGCACTACTGAATTTGTAAGTATAATGTAAATATTCTGAAATCTGAAAATAATTTGAAATCTGAAATACCTCTGGTCCCAAGCATTTTTTAACTCATTATATGTGCTCATTTATTTTTTTTAACAAATACCTATTAAGCAGACACTATGAACAAAAACTGTGCAAACATTGGAAATACATAAGTAGACAAGGCAGAAAGGCCTCTTGTATTAAAAATAAACGAAGGAGGACACTAGTTAAAGTGGTAAGGACAGATTTTAATCAGTAATAATGATTGCAACAGGGAAAAGAGTGCAGCATTAGTTGAATTCAACTTCAATTTGTATATTGGCAACTGATTGTTTTATTTTATTTTAGATTCTAGGGGTACATCTGAATGTTTGTCACATGGGTATACTGTGTGATGCTGAATATTGGACTTCTAATAATCTCATCACCCATGTAGTGAACATAAGACCCAATAGATAGTTTTTCAACAGTTGGCCAGCTCCCTCTCTCTTCCCTTTTGGAATCTCCAGTGTTTATGGTTCTCATCTTTGTGTTTTTGGGTACCAAATGTTTACCTCCTACTTATAAGTGAAAACATGTGGTATTTAGTTTGCTGTTTTTGCATTAATTCGACAAGCATTTTGGATAAGCAGTTCTTAACCGGTAAAATGTGTTGTTGCATACTAATAATGAATCATTAAAACATAATAATAAATTCTATTCACAATAGAATAATCACAAGCATATAATTCTTAGGAATAAAGGCAACAAAATATGCATAGGTCTTTTATCTAAAAGCTAAAAAATATTATTGATAAATGTTAAGAAAAAATAGAAAACGTAGATCTATACATGTTCTTATTGATATGTTATTTATATTAAGATATCCATCCACCTTACATTGATCTACAAATGTATTTCAACTCTGATGAAAATCACATCAGATTTTACTGCAAAATAAAAATAAACAATGTGATGTCAAGATGTATATAAATATGCAGAAATACAAAGGAACATAGGTAACTTAACCAATCTTGGAAAATAATATAATCAAAGAAGTAACATTAAATTATTTTAAGATTTTTAAAGCTGCATGTTAAAAAATGGAGCATCCATAAATATGTTCGTGTTTAATATAGATGATGAACTGATTTTCTATGAAGACAAAGGACAATAGAAAATACATATTTTTACAACAAATCTGAAACAACTAGATAAATTTATGAAAATCAAATGATTTTTTTATTTCTAACTTTTCCTGTTGCCCAGGCTGGAGTGGTGCAATCATAGCTCACTGCAGCCTCAAACTCCTGGGCTCAAGAAATCCTCCTTCTTCAGTCTCCTAATGCACTGGGGTTGCAAGTGTGAGTCATCATGCTTAGCCTAACGTCAATGTTTATCCCATATCATTTACAAATTTGTGATGAATCCAATTTGAGATGCTCATAAACATAAATATGAAACATAAATATAAAAACTAATACTATAAAGCATATAAGAGAACAATCCTGCATCTTAGGGAGGCAAAATATTGCATCTTTAGGGAGTCAAAAATATTTCAGACAAAACAAACAGAAAATGTAGCCGTAAAGGAAAAAATTATATAAATAGGGCTTCCTCAAAATAAGATTTTCTACTCATCAAGAGAAAGCATTTAAAAAAATTAAAAGGCAGGACACAGAATCAGAGGAATTATTTTTAATACATACAAATGACTTAGAAGATCTTAATAAGTGGTACCATTCAGTAATAAAACATCTAACAGCCTCTCCCCAAATAGGCATGAGTCTTGAATATCTTACAAAGGAAGATATGCAATGTCACATGAACAGGCACTGGACATCATTATTCATTAGGAATATGCAAATATACATGACAATGACAGCCATTGCACATTCACTAGAAATTATTTAAAGAAATTTTAAAATACTGACAATACCAAAAATTATAGATATGTAGCAACTGGAAGTCTTTTGTTTCTTAAGAGTGTAAAATGGGGCAAACACTCCAGAGAACAGTTAATTATTTTCTTATAAAGATTAAAATATATTTTTCTTTGACCTAGTAAGTTTTTTTCTCTGTTATGTATACAAAAGAAATAATAACCGATGCCACGATAAAGATTTATTCAAAACTTATTAGAACAGTTTTATTCTTAAAACTAAACCTTGAAACAACCCAAACATCCTTCAATAAAGGAATGGATACACGAATTGTATATATTCATACAGTGGATACTACAGTGCTCAGAATTAACAACAACAATGACAAATCAGATATTGACATGTGTAACAAAATGTCTGGGCCTCTATAAAATATTATATTGAATAAAATAAAAAGTTGAATATCTATTCTTATTATGTTGAACAAATTTAAAAAAAAATTACACGGTATAAAGTTCCATTTATATGACATTCCAGAAGAGGCAAAACTATTCCACGGTTATGAAAATAAGAATGGATTAAAGATTTGATGTGTGAATGAGATTTAAGTGGAAAGGCATGAAGGAATTTTTGAGGTGAGGAAAATGCCTGTAGCTTGAATCGGTATTGATTATATGGGTCTTTGTATTTGTCCAAAGTTATTGAATTGTAAACTTTAGATCTGTGCATTTCACAGTTTAAAAAAATTTACCTCACCAGTGAAACTCTGTCTACCTAAAGTCTGCAGAAAGCATAACTCAAGAATTTAACATAAGGTCCCCTAATCACATGAAGGTAAGAAACAGCCATCTTTTAAACATTTAAAAAGTCAGGGGAATAAAAAATCCAGGAGTTTTTTTTTTTTTCAAATAACTATTAAAATAAACTTATGCCAGTGAAAGAAAATAAAATTAATTTTCACAAAAGTTGATATACATGACTGAGGATTAAATCTATATTGATATTGTTGAGATTAAAATACAATGCAATTTTAATGAACATTTAAAACACGGACATGGTGTCCCTAACAATTTGTTGATGGGGAGAGGATAATATAAAAATTAATTTTATGAATCCCACATAAGTACTTGTTAAAAACATATGTCTCTGTTCTTTTTATTTAGGAATCACTCACAGAAAGCACACATTCTTTGCTTCTGCACTAACTCTGGAATTCAATATTAGAAGGCTCAACTGCCATGAATATGCATCCCCTATATCAGACTAAATGTGTTTGTTTCTCACTATTCTGCTACATTCCTTGTATTAATTTTAATGGAATCAAAACTGAGATATGGAAGAGGATGTTATATATTGAACACCTTTTCTTCCATCTAGCATACCCAATATTTGCTGCATGGGCCAGAAATATGAGAATTAGAAATGCGTCTTTATTTGGGGTCCTTACTTCATTCACAATTCTAGATAGTCTTCTAGTTATGACAAAGTCTAAGAATTTTATTTTTAAATAAATTATTATCATATTTTTCTGTTACCATTTTTTGGTTGGTTTTCCATGCAGTTTGTGCCTACTTCCAGGAGGAAGACACCTACACACATTTACTCTTCTCTACTTTCTTTACAAATTTGAATATGAAAAAGAGAGCCAGGAATTGCCAAAAGCTGGTTACTCCAAGACCCTAGGCATTCTGTCAAAATCTAACTTGGATGATCATCTAAAATACTTATCATTTTATTAATATCAGTATGTTCATTCAAATGGTAACAAGATTTTCACTTAATTTCTAAATCACTGATCTTAAGTGAAAAATATCAAAATAGAGGACTTCACAAATATTATCATTTAGAACATCCTCACTTTAAACAATCTAAAGTTATTTTTAATGTTGAATCAATCATACTCTGACCTTCTCCATAGGAAAAGAAAATGTAAATATCCCAGACAGCAGAGAGCAAACTGTCATAAAAATAAAACTGTACTTTCAAATAGCTGTAGTCCACAGCACAGCTCTAACCCAAATTGTCATTTCAGCTGCTTCACATTATTAGAAAATACTTACCTTCTAGCTTTGAACATGAAAGAAAAGTACTCTTAGTCTATCAGTTTCCCTAACTAGGAGATTCATGTATTTGTTGGGGTCATATAAAGAAACTGATAGTGCAATTTAATAAGGATAATGCAGAGAGGGTTTGGAGACTCTTTGCAAAGCTGTTGAAGGGATGAGAAAGAACACAAGAGACTGCAGTAACCTTTGGTTAGAGTGATTTTTATCACCCCTAGTTTGAAAGGGCCAGTGGCAGAGCAAGTTTACTAACTTTAGGATAAAGTAGACTCATCAGGAAAAGAGCAACCACCTAAGCTTAAGGGACAAAGCCAATCACCCGTGGGAAGCCAGTGTTAAAATTACTTGATCTTGCTCTCTGCTTTCCTGAGAATACAAATCATTCACTTTAACTCATTGAATTCACTCAGCAGTCAGAAGAAAAGGAAGCCTCTTGTTGGAATTCATACTAAGAAGATCAGAAAGTGTAGTGGAAAAGAGAGGACCAGAACTGCAGGTGCAAGTAGAAGTCAGTGTCCAAAAAGAAGTGTATTTGTATTGTTCATTTGACCTCATTTATTTTACTATGCAAGAGTATGCTTAAAAATATTTCAGCCTTCTTTTTACTATATATGCAATTAGTCATTATTTATTGAGATATTATATATCCATCATTACTTCAATGATCTCATTTTTAGCTTTCCTCTTTATTAATGGATGCAGTAACTTCTGGCATTCCCCTGAGAATATTAATTCTACTTATTTGGAAGTACTCTTTTTATTGCTCTCTGCTGTCTTTCTTTTGTATTTTATGCATCTTTCATTTGCTTTATGTTATTTTAAATCTTACCCTATGCACTTACAATGATGGCACTTCTCTGAATGACTGTTGATTTTCTTCCTTTCTTTCTTTTTTTCATGTTGTCTACATTTTTTTTTTCAAGGTGAGTTTCTGCTAGACTGTTATTACTGAGCAATCCTTTGGTGGAGAAGGAGGTTCATGCTGCTACCGGCCACAATTTGCCTCATTTGCAGTCAGATCAGGCTTTTTGTCAGAGAGAGGACATGCCCATTAGGCAATATGTATTCAGATATTTCCAACTGATCACTGCCCTTTCTTTCTGATTCAAATTCCCCTTCTCAATATATTTATCTAATGTATGACTCCCTTTTGCCTTTTTAAGCAAGACTCAAAAATCAATACCCTTGAAAAAAATTGATTAATTTGGCTAGATTAAAGTCTTCACTTCCAGCAAAATAGTTTTACTACATATTTTTTACTAAGAGACAATATGCAAACTATGTATACCAAAGCAAATCTATAAATAATTTAGAAAAATAAAAATATATCAATAGAAAAGTGGGAAAATGTAAAAATAGGTACTTACTGGAAGAATCAAGAGAGTAGTTCTAAAGACCTTAATTATTTATTTAAACTAATTTAATTAAATTTTTAAAAATAATTAAATTTTTCAATAATCAAGTAAAACAAATTAAACAATAGAACCTTTTATTTTGAGATGCAAAAGCATGAATCAAAGACATCTGTAAAGCTTAAATGTATTCAGGTTGTAAAGCTAACCCATGTAAACCAAACTAGGCCACGAATTAGACTATATCAGCGCCCCAGACTCCCCAAAGTGTCCCTTCCTAAAAGAAGCTCCTCTCACCCTAAGTTTTATGTATAATTTTTTTGCTGTGCTTCAAAAAGGTATACCATGTATGCATCTCTGGACAACATACCTTATTTTTTTTGGCCTGCTTTGATAATTAATATGAAATCCTCTTTCTGTATTATTTTGTGCCACACTCCTTTTGTTCAACATATGTTTATGAGTGACAGCCCTGTTGATGCAAGCAGTTGTAATTTATTTATTTTCACTGCTCTATAATATTTGATTGTTTATATAGATGAGAATTTTCTATTTTATTCCTTATATACATTTGTGTTATTTTAAAGTTTGGGTGCTTAGGAGCAAAGTCAATATGAAAATACTTGGACATATGCTCTCAGAATTATATGCATAAGTTTATCTACAACATATAACTATCCAAGGAATTTTAGGAGCAAACATATGTGGATACTTATTTAATCACAGACTAACTTTTTTTCAAATCAGTTGTATCAATTTATACTTCTTCCTGTGGTACCTAAGATTTCATAAAATTATACTTTCAATCCATGGGTTTAGCAAAATAATTCAAAGTTTAATAATATCAAATTGACATCTATAATTTAAGACCACTTTAGATGAAAATTTTTGATATCTATTAAATTTTACAATGTGAATAACTTATAAGCACAATTTTCCTTAACTCATCCTCTGTCTTACGAAATACTAACATATGTGCAATAAAATGCAATAGGATGTCAATTACAGCTTTTTAAAAATAGCCAAAAGCCCATTAAATAGATTAAATGTCCACCAATAGAGAAATGACTAAGTAAATATGACATATCTAAGAGTTAAAGAAATGATAAAGATTAACATGTGTTGAATCACTAAGATTTCCAATACATATTAAATTGAAAAATAAAAACACATTATTGTGGTTAAAAATACACAAAGTATTAGATTATCAAATCAGACTTACATGCATCGGAGATCTTATGCAAACTTAACTAATAATTTTATGGATAAAAATTATTGTGAGGTACAGGTGGAGCAAGGTAAGGTCAGATAGCACTGTGAGAATCCCTGGGTCCTTTCCTCCCACATCAGATATGCTTTGAACAAGGATAATAGATGATGATTCTGAGTAAGATGTGCGGTCATCTCACTTACACAGAGGAGATATTTAGATCACAAAATATCTCATTTTGTCTTTAGATGGTCCAGGAAACTATGCCCCATGAGTCAAAGAGATTTAGGTTATCATAAACAACCCTAGAAAGGAAATCACAGCACATACATTCTTCTAAAAGCATTCTGTAGGTAAGATATTCCTTCCTGGAAACTTCTTAGTTCGTTTGCCAAGAGGTTAGCTGGTTGTATGGTTACCAAAAAACCTGCCTTCTTTGTCTCCAGCATGTTTCTTATTAAAGAGAATGAATGAATTGCAGAACTATTGTTTGCACATTTACTTTTAAATGGTTTATCAGTAAAATATGTGAGAATACATTTTTAAAATAAACTTATGTGATTGCTTTGGAAAATGTCTGGAAATACGCAAACCACACTGATAATAATGGCCTTCTGGGGATGAACCAACACACAATAGATTTACTGGTAATCGTTTGATTTTTTCAAAAGTAATACATTCCTGCATAACTTGCATGATTAAAATGTATTTAATATAATTTCCACCCGTGATAACTTTCTTGTGTATAAATAGGACATTGCTCTTGCTATTAGCAGCTATATACTGTAATATTTATAGTTGAACCACAGGGTTTAGCAGACTTCAGCCCATACACTGAACCTGTCCTATTGCCTGTTTTTGTACAACCTGCAGCTAAGAATACTTTTATATTTTTTGAATAATACAAAAATATCAACAGAAGAATAATAGTTCGTAACACAAAATTAACAAAATTTAACATTTGTGTCTATGAATAACATTGATAATATTGTAGCCACATCCATTTGTTTGCATATTGTCTACTTTCTTGTTACAACAGGGTTCAGCAGTTGTGACAGAGACTTCTACAATGTTCCCAAAGCCTAAAATATTTACTGTCTTGCCCTTTATAGAAATAAATACTTTGCTGACACTGTGACTCATAATAATGTTTGCAACTACTTTTTGAATAAGCTCAAAAGTTTACGCACACACAGACACACACTCCTAAAATATTTGTTATATTGCTCTTTATAGAAATAATTTGCTTATCCCTGTGAATTATAGTGATATATACAACTGATTTTTGAATAAGTTAAAAAATTTAGCTGGGGCGGTGGCTCACACCTGTAATACCAGCACTTTGGGAGGCTGAGGCGGGCAGATCACCTGAGGTCGGGAGTTCAAGACCAGCCTGACCAATGTGGAGAAACCCAGTCGCTACTAAAGATACAAAATTAGCTGGGTGTGGTGGCGCATGCCTGTAATCTCAGCTACTCGGGAGGCTGAGGCAGGAGAATCGTTTGAACCTGGGAGGCGGAGGTTACAGTGAACCGAGATTGCACCATTGCACTCCAGCCTGGGCAACGAGAGTGAAACTCAGTCTCAAAAAAAAAAAAAAAATTTACACACACACACAAACATGGATTATGGATTGAGTTGCATGTATTTGAATATTAGTTTTGTTATTCTTGCAACTTATTAAGGGGTTTGACACTTTTTCTAAATTACAATTGGGTGAAATTTTTGCAATTGATAAATTGCTAGATAACATAATCTAGCTCATATTATATGATAACTTTAGATGTTAAATCAGTAATAAACCTTATGAAGATCTATGTTTCTAGGAAATAATTACTTCAACAAGAAGGGAAAGTAAAGACAGAAAGTAAAACAAAATATAAGATGAAATAAAATAAAGATGCGAATTGAATGCCATAGAAGTGTGCAAGTTGGAGGGAAAGTTTCTAAAATTATTTGGATAAAAAGGAAGCCATATATTTTACTGAATCTTCTAGATGGGTTTTAATTCTGTATCCTTTCATACTCACGTACTATGCCATTTTTTTCAACTTTTCATTCCACTTGTACTTCCTAACTTATGATGAATTTACCATGATGAATTTACCTATATAGAGTCCTTTTATCATTTAGACTAAAATTGTATTTATTTGAAGGTAAGAACGGTCATATACTTCTTAAGTTGTTTTCAGAATTGAAAACATAGTTGAGGCCAGGCACGGTGTCTCTCGTCTGTAATCGTAGCACTTTAAGAGGCCGAGGTGGGTGGACCACGAGATCAGGAGTTCAATACAGCCTGACCAACATGGAGAAACGCGGTCTCTACTAAAAATACAAAATTAGCTGGGCATGGTAGTGCACACCTGTAATCCTAGCTATTTGGGAGGCTGAGTAAGGAGAATCGCTTGAACTCTGGAGGCAGAGGTTGCAGTGAGCCGAGATCACCCCATTGCACTCCAGCCTGGGCATCAAGAGCAAAACTCATCTCAAAAGAAAAAAAAAAAGAAAACATGGTTGAAAGTCAATATCCATGTGATAAATTGAGTTAGAAAGCCAATGAGAGCTTAGCTAATATAAAAGGGATGGAATTCACTATCAAAACTTTTCAGAGACTTAGAAAAAATATGGAAAATTAGTGAAAATGTAAGAGAATGAGCCTTGAAATATCAAGATAATTAAACTGCAAACTTTAAGAAGGCAAGAAAGATATCCTTTACTTAGTTTGTCTTGTCCAACTAATGGTTAGTTGAATGCCATGCACATAACACATCCCTTTGAGTACTTATTGAATAAATGTAGAATGTCATTCTGGAATAAATTGAGGCAAGAAACTAGAGGGATAGCAGTGTGAAAAATGAGATTAATTTATTTGGTATAGAGTCAGTAAATTTAAGTGGGCCATTTGAAACAACAAGCTTAAAAGAAAACCAAATAAGCATTTTCAATGCATAGAAATGCAACCATTTTTCTCCTTCTGTACTTTATCCATTCAAACATTGCTTGAAAAAAATATAACTTTCAGTCTTGCTTTTTTATCTCCACCAAACTCAGATAATTTTGGTCGTTGATGACCTTTCTAAGCTAATTCCTATTTTAGAATGCTATGGATGAATGAATCTCAAAACTTCATTAACAAATTTATTTTATTCCATTTCCTAAGGAATAGAAACTTTTTACCTCCAACCCAGGGGAGCTATGAAACAAACTCCCCATTTATTTCCAATCTAAACACATTTGATAAAACAGGCAGAGGAATTTTTTATCAGATCTGTATTTTAAATTTTCATGACTGTTGTTCAAGAGTTTCCATTCTTCTTTATAAATATGTAGAGGCTTAAAATTCTTTTCTGAAAAATAAACTGCTACTTTAAATGATTTTAACTCATTTTTATAATACCTTTTTTTATTCTCTGATGATCTCTTGCTGTTTTTCTTTCTCTAGAAATGTTCTAAGAATAAATTAGCTGATATACTAAGAAAGGTTCACAAAATGAGTCCTTCACCTATACAGCACCTCTTCTAAATAACAGAGAGATTACAAATCCAATGTATTCAAACTCTGAGTTGTCTATATGTGTAGTGTTAAAAAATGTAGCTGTCAGTTTTAACAGCTTTTCTCCTGAGATTTCAGTGGCTAGCTAATGATCTCTTTTAAGGATTAGGACAATTTCTAGATAGTGAAATGGCAGGAAAACATATCAAATACATATTTTTCCATTATTAGTATTCTGAGGACTGTAAAGTCTTACTCAATGTATATCACTTTTAATTTTTAGGATACATAGAAATATTTGCTAGTAGAAATAAATGGCAAGTGTTTACTTGAAGATGGTTTAGAAAGACACTTTTCTCTTTTAATTTGAATTGCTACTGTAAATGTCATCACATGTATTTCAGTATTGTCTATGCCAAATTTGTACCTGAAAAACAGTATTATGAATTGGGCATTATATTCCATCTTCATAAATTAAAAAAGAAACATAATAACTAGCGAAGTGGAATGAGGAAGGTGTGGGGAGACACAGAATTTTTCAAAAGTAGTAACTAATTCAAGCATGTATTAGTCAGCTTAACATATCATAACTTAAATGATTTAAATTAGGTATACGTTTATACCAATAAGTTTTAAATTCTTAATTCTAACCTCATCAAATACCAACAAAGAATGCCCTTCCATATTAATACACTTTGGGAATTAAGATAAAGTATATGTAATTAAATCATCAAACTCCTTTTGTTGTTTAGCAGGTAGTTTGATATAATAAGAGAAATTGTGTTCTCATTATATATCTGTCACTTAATGAATGAATGTAAAACCTTAATCAGGCTATCTGACTTCTTTTAGTGACATTACCCTTTTTGCAACCAACACATCAAATTAGTAATATTTATCCTACAAAAATAATGTGAAGATAAATGAGATAAGATATATAATAGTCACAAATACTTATTGAATAAAGCTGTTTTTATTTATATATTTCTATGTACTTACTAGATATGTTCTTATTAAATATTTTATTATGGTATATGTCAAGTCTTTTACTTATTTTTTTATACTTAGTATATTATAGAACTCACCATCCAATAAAATTGTAATACAATTTTCTTGATTTACTAATCCTAGGTGAAAAATATATATATATATATATATATGTTGTCTTCTGTTTGAATTATGCTTAGTTGATGGCATTTTCAATAATCTCTCTGATTCTTCCTTTTCCTGTGTAAACTACTCTCATTCTCATTGTGGCCTAGATTTCTTTTTCCCTAATATTGCCTTCAGAGGCTAAGTTTCTAATATAATAACAATTTGAGTCTTTACCACTTCTCTCTAGAATCGTGATTTAGACTAGGTTATTAGAGTAAACAATATGATTCCAATTTTTTTCTTTTTTTAATGGGCTAGCATCCAAAAAGCTTAAGAATTCTGGGGGGAAAATGACATAATTAAGCTAGATTATTTTAATTTAAATTCAGAATTAAAAATCATTTTCAATAGCTTCTTTGTCTTTATTCAATTTAACAAGCTTTTGTTGAACATTGATTATATTTTGAATTCTATTTTTTCTTTTATTTTTAGTTGGCACATAATTATACGTATTTATGGGCTACAGAGTGATATTTTGATACATGTATACAATATGAAATAATCTAATCAGAGTAATTAGCATATCTATCACCTTGTACATTTGTCATTTCCTTGTGATGTGAATATTCAGAATTCTGTCTGGTAGGTTTTTAAAAAAATTCACTAAATTATTGTTAACTTAATTCACCCTACAGTGCTACAGAACACTAAGAGCTATTCCTCCCTTCTAACTACAACTTTGTTACAAAGTTAACTTTGCTTACCAACCTCTTTCCATCCTCTTCTTATTCCCATCCTTTCCAGCCTCTGATAACTACAATTCTACTTGTTACTTTTATAAGCTCATTTTTAGCTCCCACATATAAGTGAGAACATGTGGTTTTTCTCTCTCTGTGCCTGTCTTATTTCACTTAACATAATGTCCTCCAGGCTCATCCACGTTGTAACTAATAACATGATTTCAATTAATTACAAAACTTAAAAGGATACTCAACAGTGCCAAACATTCTATTTTAGTTTCCCAGTGCATTCACTCCCACAACATTCATAACAATAACCTTCTACAAAGTTACCACATGTCTTATGCTAAATTGATGGGATCTCCCAATATTAAGTAAATAGAATTAATCAGACAAGAACAGTTTCAACACAAGTTTTACAATTTGTCTCCATTTACTACTATTTTTCCCTCCATTCCATATCTGAACTATTTTCTTCTATCAAAATTCTGTCCCTTAGCTCTCCCTCTCATTTTAGTATTATCATTCTCATTAATGAATAATTCCCTTTTTGTTAAAAGTTTACATTGACTTACCGTTGTTCTTCAGTTATCAACTTACTTTGTATTCTTTCTTTGAAAGAAATCAAGCAATAGACAGTCTCCTTCAATATTTCCTGTACTGTCTTCAACCCACTTAGCTGAGTACTTTCTTTTTTCTCTACTTACTCACTTTTTCCCCTGAGTGTTCTCAAGCATTTTCATGGGTTTAAAGGCCAGTTACATGATAGCATCTCAGAATATTACCAATCTTGGTATCTTCTCTGAGTTAGAGCTTTGCATAGTCATCTACTTACTTAATATCAAATGTGGATTGTTTTATAGACAACTGAGATTCATAATGTTTTAAGTAGAGTTTTGTTATTTTCTCTGCTTCCCAGTTTGTGTGTGTATGTTTGTTTGTTTACTTCAGCTGGTGTTCCCATTGATTTTATCTTATCTAATACACCAAAACCCTATCTATCAGTAGCTCTTTTCTTCAAACTTGCACATATCTTAAATCTGTATTTCATTATTTTGAACAAGGTCTCCACCTTCTTGTCCTTTCACTTTAATAGTTTTCTAATTCATTTCCTTGTGTTTATTCTTGTCCCTGTAAAAATTATTCTTGGTTTAAGAGGCAGAGATATATATGTATTATAAACACAGGGAAACAAATTAGATATAAACCAATTATTATAAACCAATGTAATAATAACAACATATATTACATTTTTTTCTATTTTTTATTTCTTCTTTTTCTTTCTTATTTTTTGTAATGTAAGTAAGATTCTTTCCCTCCTCTGCTTTAAATCCTTTAGTTACTTGTGGAGTACAAAATTCAAATCTCCAGGATGCTAAAGCTCTGCTCTGCTGTCTACAACCACAGGCACCATTCAAGCCCCTCACTCCTAATGAGACAGGGCTCTTTCCACTCTTGAAACACAGTTTTTCCCCATGTCAGGGTTTTGCACAAAGTAACATCTTGTCTTTGAAGCTTCATAGTTTGGCTTGTTAATCAAATGGTTCCTTTTCCATATTTAAGTCATCACTTTACATTTCATTTTCTTGGAGAGGTCTTCGCATGACTCCAAGCTATCACCAGTTATGTGCTATCATAGAACATGGTTTATCCAGAAATAGTGATAACTTTCATCACTATCTATCATTCTTTGGTTTTCTTTACATTTATTTTATATCTTAAACACTGTAATATAAAAGACCTCAGGGATGGACCATGAATTTCATATTTAGCACAATACTTCAGAAGATCCATACTATCCTTTTTCTTTTTTATTCATTTTATTTTAAAATTTTCATTTTGAACTACTTTAAAGCTTACAAAAATATATTTTAAAAAATCAAGAATTCCTATATATTCTTCACCCAGCTTCTTGACTGCTAACACCGTATCTAAGAGTACAGTTACTCATATTAGGAAATTGATATGGAATTAGTTACTTACCTACAGACCTTATTTACATATTTTGTTCATGGTTCCACTAACGTTTTTTAACTATGATCAAAATCAGGGTCACATATTGCATTTAGCTGCTATATTTCTTTAGTTTTCTTTATTCGGGCGCGGTGGCTCACACCTGTAATCCCAGCACTTTGGGAGGCCGAGGCAGGCGGATCACGATGACAGAAGATGGAGACCATCCTGGCTAAAACGGTGAAACCCCGTCTCTACTAAAAGTACAAAAAAATTAGCCTGGCGTGGTGGTGGGCACCTGTAGTCCCAGCTACTTGGGAGGCTGAGGCAGGAAAATGGCGTGAACCCAGGAGGCGGAGCTTGCAGAAAGCAGAGATCGCGCCTCTGCACTCCAGCCTGGGCAACAGTGCAAGACTCCATCTCAAAAAAAAAAATGTTAAAAAAGAAAATTCAGCTTTTCTTTTTGTCTTTCATGCCCTTGATACTTGCTTTTTGTAGATTATTCTGAAGTTTGATTTTTTTTCTAATATTTCTTCATGGTTAAATTCACATAATATATTTTGGCAAGAATGCCACAATGCCGAAGTTGTCCTTCTCAGTGCATCATATCAGGAGGCACATGATATCATCGTGTCCTAATATTGTTGACGTTAACTCTGATCACTTGCATAAGATATTGTCTGCCACATTTCTCCACTTCAAAGTTACCATTTTTAAAATCAGTATTTTGTTGAGAGATACTTGGAGATTATGTAAATATCTTGTTTCTCATAATTGTATCCACTAATTTTAGTAGACTTGTCTGCAACAATTATATGGTATTTGCCAAGAAATGAGAATCTATTTCCAGTATTCTTTCTATATTTATTGATTAGAATTCTACTGTATGGAAAAGCTTTCCTTTGTCCCCCTTTTCTTATTTATCCCATTATTTATTTATATTAGTGTGGATTCATGTGTATTTGGTTTAATTAATCTGAATAATCTATTGCCATCATTATTTATTCCCTTGCTCAATTTATCTCAGTTTGGGTCACTGAGAGCCACTTCTAGTTAGCTCCTATGTTCTTTGGCATGTCTCCATCATTAGTTGAGACTTCCTTATTTTCTTAACAACAACAGATGTCTCAGACCCATTTTGTTCTTTCTGCCCCATGCACCTAGAATCAGGCATTGTTCCAAGGAGCTCTGTATCCTTTTAAAGAAGAAAAGAGTGAATCCAAGATTTGAATGCTAGATGTACTGATTGCTATTAAAATGTTATTGCTTCTAGTCTTAGTGGTTAAAATTAAGAAATATACACACATTCGGCCGGGCGCTGTGGCTCACACCTGTAATCCCAGCACTGTGGGAGGCCGAGATGGGCAGATTATGAGATCAGAAGATCGAGACCATCCTGGCTAACACAGTGAAACCCCGTTTCTACTAAAAATACAAAAAAATTAGCTGGGCGTGGTGGCAGGTGCCTGTAGTTCCAGCTACTTGGGAGACTGAGGCAGGAGAATGGCATGAATCCAGGAGGCAGAGCTTGCAGTGAGCCGAGATCGGGCCACTGCACTCCAAGCTGAGCGACAGAGAAAGACTCCATCTCAAAGAAAAAAAAAAAAAGAAATATACACATTCACACACAAACATGTGCATCTAGGTCTATTTATATATCTACACATTCTTCTCAATTCCTATCTAACGTAGAAAAAAAGTAAAGTGAAGTATATGTTGATAGTTTTGATTCTGATTGAACACCGTGTTATTCTAGTCTCCACTCCCCCTTATTTCTAAATTCTTTTTCTAAAACGGAATCACTTAGTTTTGTTTTAGTTAATATACTTAATATAATTATTTGCTTTTTATTTTTATTTTCTTAAATTTCAACTTTTAGATTTGAGGATATATGTGAGGGTTTGTTACAGAGTATACTGCATGATGCTGAGGTTTGGGGTATGACTAAACCCATCATCCAGGTAGTCAGCATAGAACCCAAGAGGTATTTTCTATGGCACTTTACACATTCTAGAAAACTGGTTGTTAATTAGCACAAGCACCTATAATAGTGCCTGATATATTTAGTACTCAAAATATATGTTAAATTAAAAACAAATGTATAAATTAATGGTTGAATATCATAATAATTACTCAAAATGTAACATAATTCCAAAGGAGAAAACTTTTTTCTAAAAAGGCTCTCTCAATTGCTCTTTCTGATTTACTATTTTCCCCAAATCTGTAGTTGCTTCATTATTGTTTGGAATTTTGCATTAGTTGTCAATAAACAAAAAATATGGATCATATCACAGCTCTTTCATTGCTTGAGATATATGAATGTATGTGATATCTTTGATGTCCTGTATTTTATCTTTATTGCTTTTTGTTACTTAAGAACATCTAGAAAAGAAGATAAATATTAATCATGTCAGAAATTATCAAAGGTTGATTACAATAAAAATTTCTCTAATGTGATAACCACTCAAAAACTTCCTTCTTCATCAAAACACAGTATTTTTTAAAAAATAGAGTGCTTCATTTTTATTTCACAGAAAATAATCAAATGATAGCCAGAATATTATGAACTAGAGTCACATAGGATATTCTAATAATACTACTTGTGAAAGAAGTATTGAGGAGGTCTTAGGACAAAAGAATATTTGTTTAATAGTGTCAGAATTCATTTTAACACCATAAAAAGGATATGTATTTGTTCAATTTTCACTCACTGCACAAAGAATTAAAGAAGATTTTCAGTAATAGCATTCATTTTGAGTCTTACCAATCCTTTCAGTTTTGGTATAACAAAAAGGCTATTAGCTTTTACTCTGTTGTGTTGAATTTTGATGATTTCTGACAGTCTTCACTGAAATGCTCAGAGATGAGACTTGCCAGTCGAATAATTTAAGATCTCATTAAATTTACCAGCAACATAAAAGCTATTTCTGCCTCTTAACTTTTTGATGTGTTGCCTTTTTCTAATCCTCTTCTCAGGACCTATTTAAAAGACAATAAAAATTTTGTTTTTGTGTGTTGAAAGATTTCTCCATTATCAAGAGAGTAGTCAGTTCTTAACTTTAGAATGATTGCATATATAGATATGAAAAATAAGGAAACAATTATTAGGAAAACTAATCAAATTTTTTACTAACATTTAGTAATTATAACAAAATTATTGTGCATTGTATTTTGTAGCATTTATGCAGAGGATATACTAACCTGTTTAAATTTTTAGACAGAAATAGTAGAAAATAGAACATTGTCATTTTCAGGAGCAAGGAAGTAACCTGTGAAAAAGTGAACGCGTTTCTTCAAATAATATGCTAATGAAAGGCTGAGATATTAATGTCTAAATATTATAAAACTTTCATTTTAATATAATGTTTTACTTTATATTTATATTGTATTGTATAACAAAGAAATGTGAGTCTTGTTACACCTGAGAACTTGAACTGGCAATCTACATATTGTTGTTGAAACAATTTTAGATTAAACATACAATGAGAGGGAAAAATGATTCTGTTGCCTCAATTTTAAAAGGAATATTTTGAAGAAATAATTTTCCATATAATAGCTTGTTATGATCTTGCCTTTTAGCCTCCCTGGATAAAGAAATGCATACTTATAATCATTGAAGGAAGACAATTTTCCTTGTTTTCTGCAAATTAGAAATATATTAGGCTATTAAATACATAATTCAAAATATACAGAATAAAGGTATTATAGAACCTAAGAATTATATAAAGAATTATATACATAAAGTAATGAATACATATACAAATAGTATAAAAATACTAAAAATAGTATTTGCATATTGATTAATTACTATGGGTATTATATAACTCTTAGTTTCTACATTGCCTTTCTATTCTTAGTTATTATAATAGGTATATTATAATTACTAATACATATAAACTACTTATAGTTTATATGAATGTGTTATATGTACATGTATATTATAATAACTAATACCTATTTACAGTTATACATATTATAATAACTAATAAATATAAGCTACTTATTGTCAAAACTGTTTTTAACTATTAAAAGATAAAGCACACAGATATGTTTTCTTTACTAGGTATTCCCAGAAGCACTCAAAAAACTCGGGGTTTTCATATAGCAGTGATTACAGACTTGCTATTTTTATTATTCCCATTTTATAGATTAAGAGCACAAGGCTCATATTAGTGTTATTTAGCCATGTCATAGAGCCAATTCCCAGATATTTTTTTCCGCTTGTTTTGTCATGAAGAATGAGAAGTAGAATCAGCATCAAGTTTGTGCTAAACAAGTACAATAATAAGAAAGCACAGCAAATGGTGACTAGACTGTAAGAATATTTTTGCTTTTAGGCTACCCAAAAAAGATAAGATATATGAGGTGATCAAAGTGAATAATTATATAAACAAGAGGAATTAGAATATGAATAAGCCAGGAAAAATAGGAATAGGCCAAAAAAACACACACACCCATTTCTTATTTAAACCTAAAGGGAGACAAATTCATTCAATCTATACATATTTATTTTGCTACCTCAATAGAGACAAATATCTTCTCTAAGAAAAATCCCACTTTACTTAATATGTATCACATTACCTAATAAATAACATATTACTAAAACAGAGAGCAACCAAAAGTGTTTTACTCTTTTCTTTTTCAGAGATTTTTTGCTCTTGTTGCCCAAGTTGGAGTGCAATGGCATGATCCCGGCTCACTGCAACCTCCACTTCCCAGGTTCAAGCAATTCTCCTGCCTCAGCCTCCCAAGTAGCTGGGCTTACAGGCATGCACCAACATGCCTGGCTAATTTTTGTATTTTTTTTAGTAGACACGGGATTTCACCATGTTGGTCAGGCTAGTCTCAAACACCTGACCTCAAGTGATCCACCCGCCTCGGCCTCCCAAAGTGCTGGGATTATAGGCATGAGCCTTTGCGCCCAGCCTCATTTATTTTCATATAAAATATAGGGTCAAGTATGTTGAGATATTAGTTATGCTATATTTTGCTCAGTATTGCCTGAGAGTTGGATTATTTTATCATTGTAGAGAACAGCTTCTAGATTATGAGAATATTAAATAAAATAAACTGGAGAGACTCTCAGCAGCAAACTATGGTATGTAAGTACATATGTAAATATGTATCTATCTATCTATTTATCTATCTAATCTATCCTATCTATCTATCTATCTATCTATCTATCTATCTATCCATCTATCTATCCATCTATCTATCTCCTTTTCTTTCATTTATGTCTGGATCTGTACCAAACGCCAGGCAGAGGAGTTAGGAGAAGTAATTGAAAAACCCATGGGTGACATCACCAACTAAAACAGGTGACAAATAATCAGCATAAAACCCAGAATACAAGAGTAATTGTCCTAACCATTGGCAGCATAGGGCCAGTACCAGCTGGAGTTAATGGCAAAGATAAAATGAAGATAAAAGGAAGTATTGTAAGATCTTAATATCAATAAACTACAACAAGAAATCATCAATAATGCTCACTCCCAAAAGAAAAATACTTACCCTGAAGAAAAACAATTGGAACAAAATCAAAATTAATCAGAGAATCAGATAATCTGAGACAAGTAAGATAATTTTTGGAAAACAATTTTTAGAAAAAATAATTTGAAGGTACATAAAATCAAATAGAAGTGGTACAAACTATAGTCAGAGATACAGAGTATAAAAATAAGAGTAAAAAACAGAAATTGAGAGATTAAAAACATCTAAAAATTTTCTAAACATAGAACTTAGGCAAAGAATAGTAATACCCATGTAATGGTTATTTCTAAGAACAAAAATTAAAATAATAATATTAATTATTTGAGCATGAAGGTAAAAGGATAAGAAGTTTATATTGATAATAGACTTCTTGATAGCAACATTTTATACAGGATGATAATCAAGAAATGGTTTAATGATTATGAAACAGATAACACAGTAGTGAGATGAGATTTTATTCATCCAAACTATGAATCATGTCTAAGGAATGTAGAACATCATGAATATTTATGATTTTAAAAAACATTGTTCCTGCGATGGCTTTTTTAGAAATGTCCTACTTACTGACAGTAAGACAAACATCATGTGAGGCTTCTGGATAAGGACTAAATATGTTTAATTTTATAATTAAGAACAAGTAATGGGGATTAAAGTGACAAAACATGATGCTATTAAGTGTGTTAACCATGAAGAAATAATGCAACTCAACAACAAACAGAAAAAAGGAGAAGAAAAAGAAAGTAGACGAATCTTAATGACTATCTCAGGAGTATCTAACTGCCATTAAAAAAATATGGAACTAAAGTAAATGTTAAGCAAAAAGAGAGAAGAAAGGAAAGAGAGTTTACTAGAGAACAGTATTACTACTCATTGAAGAAATCAATGAAATCAATAGGCAGTATTAAAACACACTAGAGGACTAGTATATTTTATTATAATATTATTATAAGATAATAATAAGAATAAACATAGAAACATTTATAAATACCAAATGAGTATATCCTGCCCCTTAAATTAAAGTGTCAATACAGGGCAAGATTTTATATAAATTATTTATATAGCAAAAGCTTATATAACAGAACTTAACACCAGCATAACAGGTATATCAAAGACACAAATGGGCTTAACTCACCATTAAATGGCGTACTTTTAGATTGGCTAATGGAGCAGAATCCAATCTATTCTGTGTGCAATAAACATATTGAACAAGGCAATTCAGAATGGTTTAATGTAAAAAGAAGAGCAAAGATAGATCTTGTATGATAGCAAGATCCTGAAATAGTTGTCAGAATTTTGCTATGAGACAAGATAGAATTTAAGACAAAATAAATTTAACAGGATAAGGAAGGGAAATTTATTCTACAGAAGGCTTCATGCTTCATTCTACATTAAAAATAAAATATATATTAATAACATGCACAAAATTACAATTTTCATAAAGCAGAAATAACAGAAGTTGAAAGAAGAAATAGACATTAAAACTGGAGATTTTAACATAGCTTATTAATTGGTAAGTCCTTGAAGAATGCAAACAAGCCCCACTTTTAGTAATTAAAAAAAATTAACACAAATACTGACAAAGACTCTCTCCTTCATCAAACTTTAGTCAGATTTTTGAGCTCTCCTCTCAGCTAGATCTTCACCTAGGCCCCTTGCCTAGTCTCCATAGCTCACTTTTAACAAGAATCCTTAAGTCCATATGGAGAGAATCTTGATATCTGATCACCCTGAGCTGCCTTCAGCAAGAATCCTGTTAATTTGGTTTAGCAAGAGTTCCCCTACTTTTGATGTCTCCTCTTAGTAATTTTCCATCCACTGACCCCCTCACACTGCTCTTTTGCTATAAATTTCCATGTGTGCCTGTATTTGGAATTGAGCTCATTTCTCTACTAAAGTCTCTTTTTCTGTGTTGCAATAATTTCTGAATAAAATCTTTCTTTACTGCTTTAATTACCCTCTGGCTCTGGTTCTCTTTGACATTACTCTTTGAAGAATCACTTTAGGGAAAAAGAATAAATGCAAGAAGACAAAGTCAGAGACTATTATCCAAATATAGAATGGAGATAATGATGATGGTGATGTCTTGGATAGTGATTGCAATGGACTGCATGGCTGTTGCCACCCTGTCCCTGAAACTTATAGGTGGAAATCCTAACCCTTAATATGATGGTATTAGGAGGTGGCACTTTCAGGAGGTGGTTACATCATGAGGTTGGAGCCCTTCTAAATGGAACTAGTTCCCTTATATAAGGGACCCAAGAGAGTTCTCTCACTCTCTGACATGTGAGGATACAAGAAGAAAATGGTAGTCTGCAACTTAGAAGAGAGATATCACTGAAACCTGGTCACTCTGGTACCATGGTCTCAGACTTCTAGCCTTTAGAACTGTGAAAAAATTGATTTTTGTTGTTTCTAAGCCACCTAGTCTATAGGTCTTTGTGATAGCAGCCAGAATTGACTAAAACAGTAATAGTAGCAATGGCGATAGAAAGAGTGAATGCATCTGATATATACTTTGACGAAAGAAGTAACAGGACTATCAGTCATGTGGACGTTTGGCATGAGAGAAATGCAAGATGGTAATTAAATAACTTTGTGTCTAAGTCTGAAGGTTGAAGAATAGTCAAAGGTAAAAGTAAAGCTATGGGAGTTACCGGCACTTACGAGCCTTTTAAAGGAATTATTTATTTTTATTGTTAAATCACCAAGGAAGAGTTGAAACAGACAATAGAAATTAATGCCAAATGAGCTGAAAAAATAAATGTGTTGAAATTGAGTTGGGAATAAAAAGCTGAGGTGGCAAGAAGAAAAGCAAGGTTGGCATATTTTTAAAGAACTCTATAATGAATAATGTTTTGAAGAGGGAGAAATTTTCAATAATTTGAAATGCTGCTGAGACTTTGGGAAATGCGAATGGTGCCCACGTAGAAGTTATTGATGGCCATTAAAACAACACTCCCTTTAGCATTATGTATAAGAAACTAGATTAGAATGAAACAAATGGATTCTTAATTCCAGAATTGTGGAGAAATAGAAAATCTAAAAACTTATTGGAAACACAAGAAATGCAACATGAGCTATAATAACCATCCATTTCAATATATGTTAGAGGATTTCAGGTTCAGGCCATGATAAAGTAGCACAAACTCACACCCTGAAGTTGTCTATAAAAGCTGGGCAAAATATGTTAGACAACTGTTGGAAGACACTGAAGAAGAATCAATGTATACAGAGCTTGAGTGGGATTATTATTAAAAAGAAATAATTATAGACTACAAATTACATTCACTCAGATGTTTTTCCTCTAATAACATTTCCCAAATACTGATGTGAAGAAAGAAAGCATACACAGAAAGTGAAATTTTACTGTGTTGAGGGGACAGAGATTAGAGTTAAGGGTATCCAGTGTGTATGGGGCTCACAAGACCAATTTCCAAGAAGGAGGTAACCACAGAGAGAGAGCCTGAATATCTGCATACAAATGCCCCTTAAGTGTGGCCAGTATCAAAGATATGTATGCACAAGGTGAGACGTCAAGAAGCCTAGCAGAAATCAATAAGTGGGAGGTTGGAGTGCTGAGTTTAGATTTCAGCTAGTGGTTTAGAGAAGAAAGAGGTTGTGTTTCAAACACTGGTAATTATAGAGGATGAGATGGGAGTGAGAAACTGTATGGCTAAATGTGGTCATTCTTCAGGTTTTAGCTTTTATGCAGGGTGCTATATGCTGGTTGCTTCCAACACTGTAAAAGTTATTATTTAATTACCTACATATAAAAGATGACCATGAATAGGCATAAGATGAAAGTATGTCATTAATCAAAATGATGATTAATTCAATTCTCTATAATTGAGATTCAATTAAAAAGAATATTATTCATCACATTCACAGAGTAAATGAGAAAAATCACATCATTTCAGTAGATGCAGATACATAAGATCTGTATCCTAACAGATATTGATACAAAGAAGTATTTGATAAAATTCATCATTAATTTACTATACATATATATGCTCTTATTAAACTAGGATTTAAAAGGCACTTCATTAAGTTGATAAAGTGTATCTTTTGAAATCCTATAAACAATATCTTATGACATAATAATGTGGGAATGTTAGAAGACTTGCTTTTCAACCTGGGAACAAGAAGAGATTCTCTGTTATTTTCCTATGCTGCTGTAACAAATTGCCACAAAATGGGTAGCTTAAAGCAACACAGACTTTTTCTCTTATAGTTCTGAAGGCCAGAAATTCATAATCAGTATCCGTGGTCTAAAACCAAGGTGTGATCAGCATTCTATTTTTTCCAGAGAACTCAGGGGAGAGTAATTCTAGAAATTATTCCAGAAATGCAGCTTCTAGAACTACATTTCTTGTCTCAAAGTCCCCTTCTTCTATCTTCAAAGATAGCAGTGTATAATTTTCAAATATTTCTCCACTTCCATGATCACATAACCTAGATTCTATGTCAAATCTCCCTCTCCATCACTCTTATAAGGACACTTAAGATTGCATTTAGAGCCCACCAAGATAATTCATGATAATCTTCCATCACAAAATTCTTCACTTATTCACATCTGTAAGTCTCTTTGCCACAAAAGCTTACATTTACAGGTACTAAGGATTAAGACCTGACATCTCTTGAGGCCATTATTCAGCCTAACACAGATGTCCTCTCTTGCTGCTTGTTTTACACATTGTACTTTTCTGAATACTTTTGAGAAAGTTTGCTCTAAAGAAGAAAAAAAAGTAGTTCTATATTTGTGAGACATGTAGACTGAGGAGAATTACTATTCTTCTAATGTGATATATAAAAGCACATTTATGTGACAATAGCAATAATAGAGAAGATAAATGAAAGTTATGCAGAAGGGAGAAGATTTGACAATAGCAAGCATGAAAGTCCTGCAGGGGAAAAGTTTGGATGGGATACTGAATAAAATTGTAATATTACTTTTTGATACATACGTTCACACCATTTTTCACAATGCTTCCTAGATTGCTCTGTATTTCTTTCCCATCTATATATATATATATATACGTGTATATATATATATACACACACATATATATATACACGTATATATATATATACACACACATATATATATACACACATATATATATATATATATACATTTTGACTGAAAATGATTGACTGGGATGAAAGAAAATGAAAAAGAAAAACGGAACAAGGAATTCTCAATTATATAAATAGAATATTATAATTAGTAAACCATGAATAAAAGAAGGCATATGGGCTGGGCGCGGTGGCTCACGCCTCTAATTCCAGCACTTTGGGAGGCCGAGGTGGGTGGTTATGAAGTCAGGAGATCGAGACCATTCTGGCTAACACGGTGAAACCCCGTCTCTACTAAAAATAGAAAAAATTAGTCAGACGTGGTGATGGGCACCTGTAGTGCCAGCTAGTCGGGAGGAGGCTGAGGCAGGAGAATGGCGTGAACCCGGGAGGCAGAGCTTGCAGTGAGCCGAGATCGCGCCACTGCACTCCAGCCTGGGTGACAGAGCGAGATTCCATCTCAGAAAAAGGAAAAAAAAAAAAAAAAGGAATACTTGATAAAAAAGGTATCCATATATCAGATAAGATGTAAAATTTATGTGCTATCTACTTCTGGAATTTCCACCATAAGGGAATAATAATGATGTAAGGGTTCACTTAAAGGACAGAACTTGTACTTGGTTACTTATGTACACAATCTCTGCCTTACTTGCTTTTGGTGGATCGTATTGTGTCATTTCAATGTGGCCATTATTGTCTTTTATGAACATATACAACAAAGTAATATACCTTTACATAATGTCTACATCTCTACTGTAATTTAAACTTTAATGGCTCAAAAATGCTAAATTACAAAATAGAGAAAGATGTGTGTTAAATGCAGATTAATATAATTTAAATAATATTATATATAATAAGGATTTGTAAAACTTAACCATTAAGATGGATAGATGAGAAAGATAGAAACCTAGAATACAACACTAGAAAATCTAGAAACATAGTAGAGATGAGTTCAATAATTCGATTCTATATAAGAGGTCATCAAACTACAAAGCACAGAGCTAATCAGGCCACTGATGCATTTTGGTAAACAAAGTTTTATTAGAATAAAGTGACATCCTTTTATTTTACATATTGTTTACGGCTACTTATGCACTACGATGGCAAATATTGGTACTTGTGACAGAGATCACATGGCACATACATTCTAAAATAATAGTTGGCCCTTAACGAAAGGTTTTGAGAGCTACTGCTCTAGGAAATCTCAGGTTCAATGTCAGTTATAAATCAGCTTTGCTTAGCATAGCCATGTTTGAAATCCTTTCCAATGACAATAATTGTTACTGCCTCTAGACAGAAGAGTCCAATTATTTTAAGGTTTCATTATTAGGAATGGTTCATTTAATTAAGCCATAGTTGTTACTTCGAGTATAATTAATTAGTGAAGGTATATTGCTTTTATGGGATATAATTAATAGGAAAATAGGTTACTGCTCTGTAGCATAGTTATAATTTAAATGCTGTGGCTTTATAGAATTTAAAGGTAGGGTCTGTTTATTATTAATTATGCCTCCCATCATCTAGCTCATGTGAGGTAGCTCTGGAACAGCACATTATTTATGTTTGCTAATAATTTATTTTAGATATAATGGTTGGTTAGGAAGGAGTTCACGGTGAAGAAGGTAGATGTCACAAAAACATGCCTGAAATGGTGATGGAGAAGACGAATCCATGTATTTATTCATTTAATAAATTATGTTGTCATTCAAGCAAATAAAAATAGTCTTTACCCTGAACATTCATATAAAAATATCTGTTGTATAATTAATCGTGTGCTTCTGAATAAAATGGATGAAAGCATAGTTTACATTATAAGCATTAATTCATTAAAATTTACCCTGAACATTGTTATTTGGTTTTATTAGCAAGAAATATAGCACTTGGAATGGTTTATTAAATACATGTGAAGAACTCTAGATCATAAAGAACCTAAAATACAGAATTTTCAGCATTATTATAATCTATTTAATTACACATTCAGGTTTATTTGTCACTGAAACTTAGTAACTTGATTTTGGGAGTTTTATATCGCTTCTGTGTCTTGTTTGTTTGCACAAGTTTGTTTATGGTGAAGTGCAAAGTATTTTAGTAAAAGGGATTTGAGCCACAGATGACAAATAATTACAGGAACATATAACATAAACTACACTTGGACTTTAAAGCAGGTTTAGATTATATTACTTTGGTTATTATTCTTTGTTTTCAAAAGGGAATGATGGGTTATAGCTATATGCCCAAATATTTAGGCGAAACACTACAAAAGAAGGGTGAAGAGACCTTTTATCTAATGGCCAAAGTAAAAGGTAGCACTCATAAAATATACTGTTTTGTGTAATAAGTGAATGGAATCTTTACACAATTTTTTTGCTAGGGTTGTCTAGGAAACTTTTCTAATTGGCCACTACTTCATAGAAAAACTTGATCCAGACCTATATGTGGAACTTCCCTTTATATTACCTTGCTGAAATTATTAAAGTTAAAAGCTTGTTTTTCCAGGCTGATACTCTCAAGACCTACAAAGACCAGTCACATCGAAGCAATCAGTTGATTACCATCATGATGCCTGTGTATGTTTATTTCATGTCAGACAAACCTGAGGTCTGTAATTGCATGCATAAAGAGTGCAACCATGGAAGAAACGAGGTTGGCTTGTGGTGTTCCGATGGCAGCAACAACACAGCTTCAAGTGCACCATGAGCATGAGCACTGCCAAGAAAATATATTGGCTCTCAACTCTCAGAATACTGCCATGTCTAGAACTTTTGGCCTTGCCAACCACTGGGCAGTAAGAGACAGTAACAAATCACAGCAGATACTGCTTCCTTAGAGCAATTAAATTACATCAGAAAAACTAAGCTGAGTGATAACAAAACAATTTCTAAACGTCAGGAGCCTAAATCAATTCATTCATAAGTTGCTCATTTCACATGTCCATGGTGTTGCTTATGACTCTACTCATGGGTCATTTTCACCTTTATACCAGGATCTAGGGGACAAAACAGCCACTCCAGAACATTGAAAGTTACTGTAGTCAAGGAAAAACAGAACGTTGTGAGGCACACTCTGAATTTTCGCCTCTAGAAGGCAACAGACACTTTAGTCTACTAACATTTCAATAAGCAAAAGGAAATCACATTCTATAACTGAATTCAACAGGGCAGTGGGCTATATCCTACCATGTGTATGAAGAAGCCAAAAAATATGTAAGCAATCCTAATGTTTATCACCTTAAATTTATCCATGCATGCTACTGTGTTCTCTTTCACTGTAAAAGCAGTGATTGCAGAATCATCACTAGTATCTCAGTATATTAGTCAGGGTAATTAATATTAGTTTCTGAACCAAACTGCAAATATCTGTGACTTAACACAATTTTTTTCTTCTCATTCATATAATAATTCAGTAGAGGATTAACTTTCTGAAATTCCTTAAAGGTTTTCACTGAATCCTCTGCATTTAATATAAAGAGGAGTATGAGAAGCATTGTGTGAGGTATCTTATAGCTCAGTCTAAAAGTGGGAAATATAACTTTAACCTACATTTCATTCACCAGTGAAATGGTCTCATCCTACCTGCAACTGAGGCTGAAAAATACAGCATTTCCGTATGGTCCAAAGGAGGAAATAATGTTATCATCTCACCAGTCTCTGTCAAGGTCAGTCCTTCTGATGCCAAAGTATCTGCTTTAATCTTCCTCCCATTATAAAACACACCGACTTCTCCTCTCAAAATGAAAAATGCAGAGTTCTTTCAAGGTCTGGCATCCAGCTCAAAATTTAGTATCTCCGGCCACTCATAATTCTCCCAATGAAGTCCAGATAAGGTCCTCATTTCTCAGTAAAATCTAAACTTAAAAGACTAAATATGTGTCCTGTGTACAAATATGCAACGGTGAAGTGGGAACAAGGTGGCAGCAATAAATATATCTCTATCACCACAGTCATTTGTTCTTGACTATTTGCAAATCATTTCAGGAAGACATGGTGAAACATCCTACACTGTGAGTGGCAGAACCCCATGTGCACTGCAGTCTTATTTCCTACCCTCCAGAGGAGTATATAAACTTTTCCTACATAAATAATGGCCACATTTTTATATCGATACATTGTAAGTTCTAAGATGTGTTTTTTTAAGAGGAATTAAAATAGAAAAGCATATACCTAAAAGATGTTCCTCGGGATATATCTGCATATATTCTCTACTCTTGTCATTTTAAATAAAAATACAGTGGTTCCTTGATATCCTCAAGAGATTGATTCCAGGCCCCCAGAGGATACCAAAATCAGCACATATTCAAGTAATCCTGTGGAACCAGAGTATACAAAAAGTCAGTCCTCCATATCTGCGGGTTTTTCATCCCGTGGATACTGTATTTTGATCCACATTTCAATGCAGATGCTGATTTTTTTAATTAAAAAATATATAAGGGGATGCACACAGCTCAAGCTCATTATGTTCAAGTGTCAACCATACTAATTTTTTTATTTCTGTCCAATATAATTTAAATAACATAATTCTGTGAACTGCATGTCATTAATTACATATACTAAGAGGTGGCATAACAATGTGTTTAAATTCCAAGAAATGGTGGCTAGGTAATTTAATTCTCATCTCTGCTCTGCCACAGACAAGTTCTGAAGTCTTCAGCCAATCATGAGTATCTGTCCCTAGCTTACTCATCTTAAGAAGGAGCCAGTAAGTAGCAATTATCTTTCAGTGTTCTTATGAGGAGTAAATAACCTGTACACATCAATGCTTAGAACAGAGATTGCCATGTGGTATTATGTCCGTAGTTGGTTCCTGCCGGTGGGTTTGTGGTCTTGCTGACTTCAAGAATGGAGTCAGGGACCTTTGCCGTGTTACAGATCTTAAAGATCACATGGACCCAACAAGTGAGCGGTAGCAAGGTTTATCGTGAAGAGCAAAAGGACAAAGCTTCCACAGCATGTAAGGGGACACCAGCAGGTTGCCGCTGCTGGCTGGGGCGGCCAACTTTTATTCCCGCATTGGCCCCTCCCATGTTCTGTTTTTGTCCTATCAGAGTGCCCTTTTTTTCAATCCTCCCTGCAATTGGCTACTTTTAGGATCCTGCTGATTGGTGTGTTTTACAGAGCGCTGATTGGTGCATTTTACAGAGCACTGATTGGTGCATTTTACAATCCTCTTGCTAGCTACAGAGCACTGATTGGTGCATTTTACAATCCTCTTGCTAGACAAAAAAGTTCTCCAAGTCCCCACTCCACCTAGGAAGTCCAGCTGGCTTCACCTCTCAGTATGTTCTGAATAAATTTGGCTATTAAATACGTGATATGAATTAACCAAGCAGAGAAAAAGTTACTAGTGACAGGGAAAAGGAGAAAATATGTATTCGATATTATTTTGTAAACAATTTATAAATATGCTTCATCTATGAGTTTCTTCTTAGTACCTTAGAAACTATAACACCACGGAAAATTTTGGATAGTTTAGGGAAGTGCATTAATTGGTAATGTGAAAAATAAGATGATTGTGATAAAGCAACTTGGGAAAAAAGAAATGGCATGAATCTTGGGAACATGTACTTTCTGAGAATTTTCATGTTTAGAAAAGAGCAAGCTAAAAAACTGGAAGCGTATTTGTTGAGAGGCAATTTTCAATTGGTCTCATGCATTTCTGTGCATCTTGCAAATAGAAAGGCACTAGCTTCACATATATTACAGGTTTTCCTTTTTAAAGATCTTTATATAGTGGATAGCCCTGGAAGATCAAGATATTGTTTATTTATGGATGAGAGAACAGATTTGTTTATTTTCAAGTAAAATGAAGATAGTGTTTTCCTCTACAGAAAACATCAGACAGGTGTGCTTACTGCTCATTTATTAAAGATTTAAGTTTCCTTTACTTGGAGTTCTTCATCTGTGACACAAACTGTGTGTAGCATCAACTTGAACTCCTTGTCATCATCTCCAGTAAACTTGAGGGAAAACAGGAACCAGAGCAAACATGAAGCTCGTGCAACTCTGTGCTGTGCTGCAAATAATGGAAGTCTTTCTGTCTCTGACCAAACAGTTATGTGTCTTCTGCCAGCATCCATAAAACTGAAGCAGGCTAACTTGTAAGCTCAGATCCTTCACAGTTCTTGACAATAGTCCCTTAAAACTGTCTGCAGATGCACATCTCTTGGAAAAATTTTGCATCCTTTTAAGAATAATTAATATCCTAGTTAATGACAACTATATAACAGGATAGATCACTTTAAGCTTCTACCCAGATTAGTATAACTTTTAGGTAAATAATGTATATGCCATTTTTTCTAAGGTTATCTAGCCATTTTTGATGTGGAAAACAATATTGTGTAAGATAAGCTGAGCATATTTTTCACTTCGTTTTTGTTTTGCAAAACAATTTTATTGCTTTTGTTAATGCCCCAATCATCAATACTGCTTGGCATAAGAGCCAAGTTTGAAGAATTATCATGTTGCAAATGTATTTTGCTCATTTATTTCAAATTAGTAGACAGAATTGAGAGGTGGAAAATTTTAGAAAAATCTTGGTTAATCATACTTGGAATTTGGTTATGTAATATCTCTTTCCCTTTTGGGGAATACAAAGGTTCATAAACTAGTGATAATCTTCACTCTTGGAACCTTTAGATGCTATCATGATGTTAGCACAGAAGATAAATTTATAATGTTGCAGTGAGGTAAGGAAATAAAACATGTAAGTCTTTGAAAACAACACTATGAGAGCCCTTGCAGGCTAAAAATTAGACACCAAAGCATTTTTTGTTACTTTTGGAGAATAAAAGAAGTGTGCCCCTCAATGTCTTGTGGGAGAAAATATATAGTTTGATACACTTGTCAATATCTCTAACTCAAAAATGATGAGTATAAGGAGTGACCCTTATTGTAGTCTTATATTTCTCTCCAACAATTAAGAGAGTTGGTGGGGATGTTTTTTCCATGAGTTCATCCCGGGCCCCAGGAGATTTTCATCTTGTATTCTCTTTATAATCCTATCTTAGTGTTTCATCCTCATGGCTAAGTTCAGCAATACTTCTGCATTCCAGCCAGTAAAATGTGTAAGAAGAGATGTAAAAACAACCGGCTTTGTCTTTATGGAGATTAACTTAAATTTATGCTCATAATATAATTCATGTTATACTTGATCAAAATTAATCACTGATAAGAGACTATAGAAGGTAATCTCCTGCTTGTGGTCATATGTACTTAGGATTCTATTACTAAACAAAATGAAAGAATGCATTATATGGACAATTAGTGGTCTCTAGTACAAAGAAATTACCAGGTCATTTCCAATTCTCAATATTAAAAAAAAAGTTTATTTCTTACTGCACTATCAAATTGGAAAGGTCAGTACAGGGGCATTCAATAATAGTAAAAATATGAATAGCAATCATATGTATCACAACAGAATCATTTAAAAAGATGTATATTTAAAATATGATTATTGCATTTTATTTCCTGTGGCAGAAAATTATAAATTGGAGAAAAATCACATTTGATTGATGTCTGTTACATGGATTTTTAAAATTTGTATCAATGAATGCTTTTTAAAGGTAAACTAATTGAGGCCTACCAAAGATAAATAAATCTTTAGTTATTTTGGTAAATATATTTTACAGTTTCATTCTTTTCAACTTAAGTTAGATAATAGGTACTACATTCTCTCCTAATGTAAATGTTTATGAGCATTGAAACTCCATCTGGAGAAAATAGAGACACTTTTAATTTAAATGACATTTGAAGAAGGAAATATATAAATGTATTCAAAACTGTAAGTGAAAATGGGAAGGTCCTATTAAAAAAAAAGAAAGGACAAACACTTTCCAATGACCTTTCTATAATATTAGCAAATTTATTATGATCTGTTATGAAAGACTGTTTTGCCTTCCTTGTTTCTACTGTCTCAACTCCCTAAGTACTAATTCAATTGAAAAGTAACTTCAGGTATGGGTCCATTTTAATGTCCCTCTACAAGATCTGCAGTGCCATTAATTACAATCATATAATCTTAGAGCCAAAAGGACCCTTAGAGATTATCTAATCCTATTCTATTAATGCATGATGAAATGGGCTTAGCAATCTGTCTAAGGTTACACAAATTCAAAAACACATAGAAAGTTTTCATAATCAAATTAAATTAAAAGTATAAAACAATTAATGTCACTAATTTATTTATGTATAAGAAAATATTAAATATCATTTTATATGAAGTGATTCTGATAATTTTAATGAGTTCATAACAATGCTTCTAAATATTTCAAAATTTTAGTTTATCATCCAAATATAATAATAATATACACTTTTATAAGTGAGTCTTCTACAGTGAAAATTACTAAGTATAGGAAAGAGAAAATCATAGATAAATAGGGTTGTATCAAACTCTTAAAATGTACATGTGGAAATTTAAAAATATCCTCTTGCCAAGGGGATGTTGATGTCATTCCATAACAGGATTGACATGTGTAATTAAAACAAACAACAAAAATTAAGAATATATAAATAATATTTTAAATGCTTGAATTTGTTATTTATAATGAATATTGAAATTTATTTAGTGAGATAAAAGGTTAACAAATTCTTGAATATAATTATACTACTTTTATAATAAAATGCATCCAAGCTGAAATCTCACTTCTGTTGTCAACTGCTTTGATGGTTCTAGACTCATTTCCCTATTTTTGGTGAGTCATAAGACGGATGACGCACATGCTCAATATCAGGTTATTTTCATGGCTAAGGTTTATCACAGCAAAAACTACAGGGCAAAACCAGTTCTATTCACATTTTTAATGAATAGTAAACTAATGATATCTTGTTATTCCTATGCTTTGTCTATCATACCTACACATAAATATAAGCACTGGTAAGTTCTGGTTCCAAACATAGCTTATATATGAATGCCATAATCATTCAACATGCATACATTAGCCTTGAAGTTTGAAGATTAAAAATTGTTTGTAAAACTATCTAGAAAAAATTTATTATGATTACAGCCACTATTAGATTTCAAAAGGGTTCATCAGAAATCTCTGAGGTATATAATGGGGAAAGAATATTTTGACTACCACTTTAACAGGTCTGCTGTTTAATAATATTAGTTTATTTTTAATTGATGTTTCATGGACATCCAGAATACTAGCTATAAAATCATATATGCTGCATAATGCAAGCAAAACAAAAGCACCTATAAATATTACAGAAGACTATACATGTATGTATATCACTGCCATAAAATACCTATATACATATTATGTATATACACACATAATTGTTTTCACAACCATGATATTATTACTTACAAAAGCATGCAAATTTAGGGAGATGGCTAAATAAGTTATGGCTTTTTCATAAATTGTAAGCCTATTCATTATAAAATATTACTGAGGTCAACTTTCATTTGTTCCCCAACAAATTATTGAGCATCTACTATGTATATTCTAGGCCCATTTCTAGGGACTGGGGAAAAAATAGTGAAAATAACATTCAGAATGTCTTGGCTTCATAAAGCTGTTGTTCCAGTGTTGGGAGAAAAACAGTAATTAATACCACAAAGTATCATGTGTTGTATGCCAGATGGTTTAAGTTCTATTCTAAAAAATGTGGCAAAGGAGGGGAATAGAGAGTTCTGGGCACAAGAGGTGCTGGATACTGAACAAGATGGTTGCTGCAAGTCTCACTGGGTGGTATCATCTGAATACAATGAATGGTTATGAGAGAATGAGCCAAGAGCATAATTGAGAGAACATATTTTCAGGGAGCAGAAATAGCAAATGAGGCCTTGGTGTATGAATGCTCCCATGAGGTTCCACTAAGGATGCCAGTGTGATACAGCAGAGGAGATGAGGTCACACTCCATGGGGAGATGGTCACATAAAGCTTCTTAGAAAATGGTAAGAACTTTTGTTTATTTAATTGGCAGAAAATGAAGGGTTTTAAATGGAAAAGCAATCGCCTCTTTAAAGAATTAGCAGTAACAGTTTGACTGATTTGTGAAAATAGACCATAGCATAGCAAAAGAGAAAACAGGGAAATTAGTGAGGAAACTATTGTGTAAACTATTCGGAAAGCTGTTCTAAACTATAAACTATGTAAATTATAAATTGAAATTGTTCTATGCAAACAAGATATATTTGAACCCTGTATATTAGAGGCAAAAGTCCATGATATTGGCAATGTTTTGGCCTGAACTATGGGAAGAACAGAGTTGGAATTACTCACCTAGGTTTAAATTTGGGAGGAGCAAATTTGGGATTAGAGGATAGGAAAGATCAATAGTTTTATTTTTAACAGGCTTAATTTTAAATAGACACTTAATCATATAATATATTTTAAATAAACTATTAATCATAAAATAATGTCAGGCTATATTTTAATACTCACCTAAGATATCAATGATAAATAAATAAAATGATAAGAAAATACATCAAGACCGCAATAGTTGTTGTAATTAGACAGTGGAGTTACTTGTGATTTTAATGATGTAGGAATTATTCCGTTTTTTAAATAATAAATATTTATTAATTTTATAATTATCAAAGATGCTATAAAAAGAAATACTTTTTTATTACTATGCTACTGATGTATTTCCATTGCATTGACTAACAAAATTAACACTAGAATTTTCAAAAATATCCACAGTGGTTACTTTATTTGCACTGTTAATTCAGCTCTTTTTAAGTATGCCTTCTTGTTCCCTAATTGATATAATTCAGAGACTACACTTGGACACAATTTAATGAGTAAGCAAATTAGTTCCAGTTATTCCAATATGAAATTCCTTTTAATTATGGGCTACTTTTGGAGATGTAGAATAATTTGAATGTTTAATTTGGTGACTCAATATGACCTACTTCACATTGTTTTATGAGTGGGTGAAAAATATAAGTGCTAGGAAATGTGTACCAGAAATAATTTGTCATCTAATTACATTTCAGAACATTATACCTACTCAAAGCCTTGTTTCAGCATATATCTCATTTTAAAAATCTATGTTGTATATATGTTTACTTCTTTAAAATTTTAAAAATGTTTATGGTATTCACATAAAATACAGAAGAGACTAGCAATAAGTGACATACATATACTTCAGGACCTGATCATTTATATGACTACATTTTTTTCTTTCCTTAAAAAGAATATATTCAAATACATCATGAGAAAAAGGTATAGCTTTATAGTTAGGATAAACCTTTAATTCAAGTGCTGTTACTTGAATTAAGAATGCACAAGCCCCAGACTCTACTCCACAAACCCCACCCGCTCTTCTCACCACAAAAATACCTGGGGAGAGGGATCTGTCTGAAGGAACCTTTCCCACAATGGCCTTTATTCAAAATGACACACCTGCCACTTTCCTGATGCCTACTCTTGTACTCCAACTACAGTGTGATTCATTATACACAGTTTGCTTGTATGTTATATGACAGTGATTACATCAAGGATTTGGGTACTAGCTAACTGAATTGATATATTTGAAAGTACTTTATAAAACAGAAAGTGCTGAACAACCATTAAGCATACGGAATGATTTGGCAACAATCATATGTAGTACCACATTTTCTGAAATATCTATTTCTTAAAAAACAAGTTTCATTAAGTGTATTATTTGCTGAATAATCTCTCAAAGGTCATGTTTTCATATAGCTACTATTATTGCATTTTGAAATCAAACATTATTTTCTTTGCCATTTCAGAGAAGCCCTTGGTAATCCAGCCCGTAAATGCAATTCATGGGCGTGGCTCTAAAGAGAAATAGGCAAACAAAAAGAAGATTAACTACACATTCAATAATCATTTATTTATTTTCTTAGAGATATCTATAGTAGCTCTCTCTTATCCTTATTTTAATAAATGCTGATGTACAGAATTAGTGAGGTTTTTGGTAATAATTTTTTTTTTTGAGGCAGAGTCTTGCTCTGCCATCCAGGTTGAAGTGCAGTGATGCAATCTCCACTCCCTGCAACCTCCACCTCCTGGGTTCAAGCGATTCTCCTGCCTCAGCCTCCTGAGTAGCTGACAGGTGCTCACCACCACGCCCCGGCTAATTTTTGCATTTTTAGTAGAGATGGAGTTTCACCATGTTGGCCAGGCTGGTCTCACTCCTGACCTCAAGTGATCTGCTCGTCTCGTCCTCCCAGAGTGCTGGGATTACAGGCATGAGCCACCGCGCCCACCCAGGTTATAAATTTCTTATTCCTCTTGTTGTTGTTTGGGATGTGTATTTGTGTGTGTGTGCACATATACATATTATTGAATTTACTACATTACTCCAAAGGCTTTTCTTTAACTATTTTGCTTGATGTATATTTAACAGTGATAGTCTCAAACAAACAAACAAAAAACAGGAACACATCTGCTTTTTCACCAATACTGTTCATAGAATGAATCTGTATAGCAGTCTGAGGCTATTCTGATGATAAATTAATTATAGGACTAGAAAAAACTATTTTGCCATTTTACAAACTCTCATTATGCACCTTATATAATAGTGCCAAGTTAATAAATTTGCGTCTATGTTTATAGTCTGCAATTGAAAAAACTTACCAGGTACTATTTTCCAGATGAAAGTGAAAGTGATGACAGATTTTATTTCTTCACTTAAATTATTAAGATATACTTTTAACATGTGAGCATAATCGATTTTATTGCAGGGAAGGCCCTTAATTCAGTAAAAAAGACAGGATTACTTCTTGAATATTAAAACATTTTCATCTTTTCAGTTTTGCTTTCCTTGATACTAATCTATTTTTCTTTTTACTGAGTAATGTATATCATTTTTTAATTAAATATAATTTAAATAATATTTTACAATATTCTAAAATGCTTCTGAATACTTCGTCAATAACTTTTGGAAGTTCAATAACAATAACGATTACATTTTTCAAATATTATTTTTGCATTATTTATATGTTTGCATTTTTACAAGTGTTCTAATCGCATATTGCAAGGCCAAATCAGAATTTTTAAAGACTTTATTTTATTAACATTTAATTATAGTAAAAATTAAGAAATAAAATAAAATGACATAAAATTTTAAATCATATGAATAAATTAAACCTATATATTTAAATTACTTTATAATTTTAGCATTTTTCATAAATATACAGAAATTTCATTTTGTGTCTGTTGTTATAATTATTACAATATTAAAATTATGTAATGGGAAAATAAATTAAGCATCAATTAAGACAGCATACATCTGTTGACAAAAGAAAGAGAAGGTATATTTGATTTCCTTGATTTTTTCCTCTCAAAATTGAGAAATACAGTTTAATTTTATAAATCTATATCCATTTAAATTACTTAAGTCACCATTTTAGCCTAATTTTTTCATTTTCTAAATAGATTACTCTTCTTTTTTTTTTTTTTTTTAAAAAAAAGAGGTATCATTTATTCTGGTTACAGGTAAAAGACAATTTTAGATGTGCAAATATTTAGATATATAATCACAATTAGTATTTTTACTTCATGAAATCTTTAGGAGCAAACTTTGCTGTTCTAAACTAAAATTTGGATTCCAATTCAAAAGCTAAAGACTATCATAGTGTGATTATCCCAAATGAACTCTTTTACCTAACACTTACTGAAATTTCAAGATAAGTAGTATTGAGATTCTACAAGTCAGTAAGAGGTCTTCTCCCTGTGAACTTTTAGGTTTTAAGGGCACGAGGAATTTAATGGCGACTGGGCTAAAGAATGTAATAACCACTATTGTGCATATGATTTTAGCCATATAGGCAAAAAGCCTAGGAGTTACATTGTTTGGTCAGATGGCATAAGTACAATTAATTGCAATATAAATTGTCAGATTGTTTCAAAAAGCTCTACAATAAATTATTCTTCACCAGAAACATATGAGAGAACACTAGACACAGTAAGTCCTATAGTTATCTTTAAATGCTACCTATTTGATGGTTTTTCTGGTGACATTCCTGTGTTATTTTAATTTGTATTTTCTTTACCACCCATGAATCTTAACAGATTTTTCTATGAAAGTTCAGCACTTTGATTCATTCTTCTGTGGACTGCCTGTGCCTATCCACTTCCCTGGCTCTCTTGCTTGGTGTGTGCATGTGGCTTAGTTTTAGCAAATAGAATATTTGCTGTCCCTGAGCCTTAGTCTTAAATCCTTATACAAGCACTTTTTCTTGTTATCTTACCTGTTTGTCTGACTTGGGTGATGATTCTTAGAGTAATTTTGGTTGCCAAATGTTAAAGTTAGTAGAACTACTATAAGCCTCTGAGTGGCTAAATGGCAGTTATTTCTGTGGCCTGAATACTCTTATGAGATATTCAGAGAGAATGAGAGGGAAGAATTATTTTTTAAGACATGGAATTTTTATTTTCTATTCCTTAGAACAGTTTAGTTTACCCTAAATAGTAACTACCTATTATTTTCCCCTGCTAATTTTTCTTGAGGCTCCTAACTTTATCAGGTGAATTTTAAGACATCTACGAGGCTGGGCACGGTGGCTCACACCTGTAATCCCACCACTTTGGGAGGCTGAGGCAGGCGGATCATGAGGCCAGGAGTTCAAGACCAGCCTGGCCAACATGGTGAAACCTCGTCCCTACTAAAAAGAAAAAAATTAGCTAGGTGTGGTGGCGGTCGCCTGCAGTTCCAACTACTCGGGAGGTTGAGGCAGGAGAATTGTCTGAACCCGGGAGGCGGAGGTTGCAGTGAGCCGAGATCGTGCCACTGCATACCAGCCTGGGTGACAGGCAAGACTATATCTCAAAATAAATAAATACATACATACATACAAACACATATATGTAATGTATAAATATTACCTTTTTGTCATCTATTTAACAAAATATTTGCTCAAATATATCCTTCCATCTGACAACTATTTAACATTACTTTTCTAATATTTTTACTTTATTGCTGCTGACTTGATACATTTTTTATTCATTCCACTACATCCTTGTTATTTTGGAAGATCTATCCTTTATTTCTTTATTAAGGGGTATCTTCAATTTTTTGACCTCACAATTAGATGCATAATTTTCAAGTACTATTTGAAATAAAAATACCTTCTATTGTCTTAGCAAATTAGTCCATTTCTCTACTTACCCCTCCTCAATAAGTTGACAAATTCAAAAAACATAAATTTCCCCATTTCTTTTTCACCACTCCCCTCCAAGAAAACTTGGAACCAGTTTGTTCCAAGGTTTGTTCCCACCAAAATCTAGATTATACAAAAACATTTTAGAATGTTAATGATATATTGTTAGTAAAATTCTTCTATTGAATAGTTTATGATAATTTGTCAACATGAAATGTTAGGCAGACATTGAATACCAACTACAGCTATTCATATTCTCTTAACAGGATTTCCATTGAGTTATTGATGAAAGATAAAGTGATATAAAGAAAATGTGTATACACCGAGTGCAAAATATTTTATACCCTTTATGTGGCCATGAATATTAAATCATAGTTATGGGAGGAAATTGCCAAATACACATATTAGACTGTTAAAAACTGTCTGAGCTCTGGAAACCGATGGATAGGCATAGCAGAAGAGAGCAGAAGCAAGCCAAGAAATCAAGGAAAGGATACTGCTATATAACAAGAAATAAAATAAAAGTACGTAATGTAATTCCCTTAGAAAATGAAGTAGGGTGACTGAGAAGATGTGGAGAACCTTTATACCAATTTCCTTTTTCTAATCAGATTTGATTATAAAACATCGACATAAAATCAATATATGTGTATTATATTCATTTCAATTTTAATTTCAAGACCTAATTTTGCTGTCTTAAAGATCATGGATAACTCCATCTTATCTCAATGTTCAATCTATAATTTATTAAAACAGAGTTTTCAAAAGAATTTTCAAAATACTTTATTATGATTACAACCATAGTTAATCTTAAATTAGGACATACTATGTGATAAATACTATGGTGAAGTACTTCTCAATAATCCATATTCTTAAACATAACAAGTTCTAGGATCAAACTGCTTAAATTTATATATTTGCTCAATCATTTGCCACATAAATATTTTACAGATGAAGAAACTAAAACACTTTTTTTTTCTCCAAAACCGTTTCAGGGCTAACTAACTTACTCATGAGCTTGGTAAAAATAAAAATTATTAGATACCTTGTGGATCCTTTGCATATATTTCAAATTTAAGTTTTTGAAGCACTTTTTGAAAAGACTTCTTTATGTGACATTTGTTCATTAAAAACACAGTGTTTCTTTTTTTGAAATACAATCTAATTGTAAAATATCCTGTGTCTAGAAATGAATTTATTTTCCTAACAAAAATGAATTAAATTAATTAATTAATTACATTCTCAGAACCATTATGTAAACCAAGTGTGTTGATCCTACAACCAGTGAAAATAATCCCTACAATGCTAAAAATGTGTGTGCTATTATCCATCTATTTCCTAGTTCATTAAAGCCAAGTTATCATAATCTGGACTTTTTACCAAAGATTTTCAGGGATGTCAAAGGTTTTTACTACTAAATTTAATATGCTGAAATATTACTTTATGTTCTATTTATTTTTATTCATTTAGAATAACATTTTTCTCTATGTTGCGATTGTAAAAATTAACTTATTTACATATATACATGATGTCATGATACAATCTAGGCACAATTTTGGATATTTCCTTTTCCCAATGTGTTTAACTTACACAGGTAATCAATATATGTAATCACCAAGAAAAAGACCTTCATTGGTTTCTATTTTGTTATTTTTTCCTCTGGAAAAGAGTTTAAGATAGTTTTATCATGAAGAATAGCAATCATATTTTTTGCATACTGTTATTTATTCAAAGACGCTTAATCTATATAAACAAATTTTAAAAACCCTGGTATCAGTTGGGTAAAATCTCTGAGATTTAAAATATTTACTAAGCTACTAAATGTTAAGCAACATGGGATTTTGAGAAATTGGCCAATGGCAAGGATTGTAAGGGAACAAAAACTTGGAAACAATGCTGTTTGTCGACATCTTGAATAATTTGCTGTGCCTCTATTTTATGTCACAGCATTTCCACTTCCAGGCCTATACAGATAAATAAAATCAGTGTTATACACAGAGTAGGTACACACACACACACACACACACACACACACACACACACGTGTTCAGATATAAAGATTTCAACTGTAGCATCATTTGTAATAAACAATATTGGAAACAATGTTGGTATATATTGCTAAGAAAATGTGTTGAGATCAATTTAGTATAATTATATATGATTATTTCATTTATTTATCATTTATTAATCATTTATTTATCATTATTATTTATCATTTTTATTTGTATATTTATCATTATTATTATTTATTATTTCATTTATTTATCATTTATTAATCAATTATATATGATTATTTCATTTCTTTATGGAATGAGTGTAATGGGAAAATCCAGTGGAAAGTTTAAGGTAAAGCTAAGAAAGTTAAATCTTTAAGACCTCTTATGTGTATGGGTCTTTCTCGGGGTCATATGAGTTTTGCAAAATTTGCTATGTAAGATGTTTAATTAAAAATAAGAAAGGCCATACCTGTTTTGACTCCCATTTGCCTTTAGTCATTTATCTCCCTGTCAGGTAGTGCAGGTCCAGCCTACAGCACTTTTAGTATTCAGCTAAGGGGAAGTTGAATAGAGACATATTTAATTTCAGTTCATTGAGGTTAATGTGTTTGATTTAAAGCCACTTCCATGTAAAATGAAGTTGTTTCTGGCAGTTCAGAGACTTTCTATTGCTCACTCCATAGATTCATCCAGTGTCGTAGCACAGAGGTGCAGAGGCAGAGAATGTTGTGAGACACATGTCATGCAGTACTTGGTACCAGAGGCTGCAGAGAAGGAAAGAAACAGCTGCCCTTAACTTAGCTCTCCTTTCCACTAATTCTTACCGTGGTGGTGATGTGGTGAGAATCAGATGTCCTACATGTAAGGGGATCTGCTGTAGGCAAAGAACTCTGGAAAAAAGAACCTGAGCATTTTCGTGGAAGAGTGACCCAGTTGCTCTGACCCCCTTCTGAGTGTGTCTCCATAGTCACAAAACGGAAAAAAATCTGAGTTCTTACTCTAACCATTTGGATAAAAATAAATCTCTCCAGGGGAAAGATAACGCTAGAGTCTCCAGCTTTGTAACTTCTGGGATGCATCTACTGGGTCTCATCTTCTCTTGAAATGTAAATATATATCCCTAGTGAGGTAAATCCCTCAGGATGGCCCCTAACCATGTTCTTTCCGTGAATTAATTTCAAGAGCTAGTTCTTAGTGTAGAGCCGAAGTCTGAGTAAAATTTGTTGAGAAAGTTCTTACTATGCATAAATAACTTTATTTACAGCCTAACACTATCCATTAAAATCAGTAAGAGAAAGACAAACTAATCCAAAATGACCCTGCAATCGGGGCTCTAAAACAATGCAGATTGACTGTAATTGTTAAAATGAATTTGGAAAGTATTTGACCTTATCTGTTAAAATTAAGTATATGCATACTCTGTGACCAATAATTCTGCTACTATCATCCAACAGGAACACATAAACATATTCAGCAAATGTACAAAATGGTTTATTAAAGAATTATTCATAACAGCTTAAATTGGAAGTTTTGCAGTTATCCATCAAGAGTAAAATAAACACATCATAGCATATATATACATACATGGAGTATTATCATGCAAGAAGGATAAATGGTATACCCAAGAGAGCTTTGATGACTCTCCCAAATACATTTCTGAGTAAGAGAAGCCATCCAGAAAAGAATATATATTGTTTAATTCTATTATAAAAGTTCAAAAATAGGTTAAAAAAAGTCTGTTATTAGCAATCAGAATAATAATTACTTGCAGATGGAGCAGATGGTAATTTAAGGGAATTTTATTGTGAAATATGTACAATCACTTTGTTAAAATTAATTAACTATATACTATTTGTGTATTTCAATAAAAACGTTTAATAAACTATCTCATCGTTGTTATTTACATTTCTTAAATAGCATTTAGGCATGGGTGAAAAGGTTTAACTTGACTGGCCTGAATTGCTCAAATACTGTACATTCCAAAGAGGGGTCCCTCTGCAGGACTAGACCTTAGTCTAGGAGTTCATCTCTGAGCCCTTGGAGTATTTTGCTTGATAAAAGTGTTGTTGTTTTCCTGAAGTCTTGGGCCATACTCTCCCAGTTCGACCAGAAAAGGTTATGTTATCAACGTGACTTATGTGAACATCTGTTTTTACTCTGGGTGTAGGAAGAAAGTTGTGCTGAAATGTCATGGAGCTGAGGTCAATCATATGGGCATTACATGACTATGTGACTGATCCCAGTAAACACCTTCGACAACTAGGCTCCAGCGAGTGTTCCTGGTTGGCAATGCTTTGCACTTTACATATTGTTGCTGGGATAATTAAACATGTCCCCCTGCAACTGCTCTGGGAGGGGAGACACCTGAGAGCTTGGACTTGGTTTCTCCTGGAGTTCACTTCATTTGTCTTTTCTCTTAGCTGACTTCTATCTGTACTGTTTTTACTGTAATATACTGTAACAATGAGTACAACAGCTTCTGATTCCCTTAGAGACCTCCAATAAATTACCAGGTCTCAAGTGGTCTTGAGAACCCCTGGCATATTACTGAACTTAAAGTTTTCAGAATATCTGTATTTGATATATTCCATGGCAAGCACTATATCCATCATACTTTTTCATTTATTGACATAACTCCAAATATTTCCACATATCTAAAATTCAGGAAAGTAACCCTATCCTTACCTCTGAGGATAAAGCTTGTTAAGTATAGGTAAACCATGACAATTTAAATTCACCTGTTTGTGATTGACTTTTTTTAATGACTGTTTTTAGTCAAGAAAATGTGAGGGTAGGTCTGCCAAGAGTTACTGAAAAGAGTTACATTTTCTAAAAAAAAAAAATCCTCTTCTTTTCTCTTTGAGAATAATGTGTGGTATTTCTGAAATCATTGTCTGCCCATAAAGAGAGATTACTTACACAAAAAGTCTGTATAAAATATGACTACAAAGAAAGATGAGGAAAAAATTATATTCTTGATTAATTTATTGATCTATTAAATTAATAGTCTTGGAAGTAGATCCCTCTTTGGACTTCCACTTAGAGACAGGGCCTTACTCTATGGCCCAGGCTGGAGTGTAGTAGTAGTGCCACCATAGCTCATTGTGTAGCTCACCGCAACCTCAAACTCCTGGACTCAAGCAAACCTCCTGCCTCAGCCTCCCAAGTGGCTGGAATACAGACAGGTGCCACCATGACCACACCTGGCTATTTTTTTTTCAGTTGTAGAGCTAAGGTCTCCCTATGTTGCCCAGGCTGGTTTTGAACTCCTGGCCTCCAGTGAGCCTCCCACCTCAGCCTCCCAAAGTGCTGGGATTCCGGGCATAAGCCACCAGACCTGGCCTATTTATAGTTTAAATTTTCTCATCGTCTAAAATAAAAGATCTAAAACTAATTGTCTAAGTTGGCAGAGCAGTCAGAACACACACATTTATTGATTAAATTCATTGTCTTATATAGATGTGGTTCATGGTGCCCAAAACAATTACAATAGTAACATCAAAGGTCACTGGTTACAGATTATCATATCAAATATAATTATAATTAAAAAGTTTGAAATATTGTGAGATTTACCTAGATATGGCACAGAGATACAAATGAACACATGCTATTAAAAAGTGGTGCCAATAAAGTTGCTTGATGCAGGGTTGATATAAACCTTCAATTTGTGAAAAACACATTATCTGTGAGGCCAAGTGAAGCAAAGCACAATCAATTGAAGTATGTCTATATTCCACTGCCTTTGTAGAGTGTATATAGTTGTATTATATAACATATATAATATATATACAAATATATATAATATATATATATTTGGGTATATGTAATATATATTATATATATTTGTATATATATTACACGTATATATTGTATATGTATATATTATACATACATATAGTGTGTGTATATATATATATATATATATATATATATATATATATATATATTTGTTATGGACTGTGTCTTGTTTCCCCAAAATTAATATATTGAAGCCTTAACTCTCAACGTGTTAGCATTTGGAGGTGGGACCTTTGGAAGTAATTAGGTTTAGATGAGCCCATAAGGATGGGGTCTTCATGATGGGATTAGTGCTCTTATAGGAAGAGACCAGAGAGCTAACGCTTTCTATTCGCTATGTAAGTACATAGGAAAAAGGCAGCCCTTTGAAAGCCCAGAAGATGACCCTCCTCAGACTTGCCAGGTTCAAGAACTATAAGAAATAAATGTCTATTGTTCAGACCAGCGCCTATCTTATTTTTATATAGCAGGCTGAGCTTACTAAAACAATTATTAAGAAAAAACAGCAAAGCAAACAAAAGCAACTATGTTTAAAACTCCTGGAAAAATAATTTATCTTCTGTGCAGCTGTTTTTTAAGATTTTCCTTTAATGTATTTCCTCTCATTTTTCTTGCATCTTATTTGGAGTCTGTAGTAGCATAGTTCTTAATTTGCTTATCAAGTAATTTACATCATGTTAAACATGAATTTCAACCAGCAAAGAATATTATTAAAACTTCTGGACTAATGTTATTCCCTTGTATTCTTTCCTACTACCCGGAAATGCTTTTGCTGGCAATGATTTCTCCTTTGATATTGTGAAGTTTTGGGCCATTGTTAGAGAAACAGGTCCACTTGCCGATTAGCAGGCAGTAGGCTTTGTGACCTAAGTTCAGTAACAGAAAATCATTAGTTTCTCTGGCAATTTGATACAACATGCTTCATATATTCCAAAATTCATCAATTTTCTGGTCTGTTGATGTCCTCCTTTATTATGTTAAAGAGTTGCTACAGTATAGTTTATTCATAATGCTATTTTCAGTTGAATTACTAGAGCTCCACTTTAGCATTTTAAAATCATATTATCACATGTTTATTTCCAAATTAACAGGGCAATAAAAATCCTCTCTTAAAAATCGGGGATATAAGTATTCATCTCTGTTTATGTAAAAATATTAAAAAATTAGAAGTGAAATATCACAGAAGATATTTTAAATATGAAGACAAATAATGAAATAAGGAGAATTTTAAAAGCCAAATATTTTGGATCAGAGTAAGAAGTTAGGGGTAAAAGATAAAGGTTATCCAACAACCTTTCGCAAATGAAGCCAAAAAAGTAGGTTTGTGCAACAGTGAATAACTAAAATTACAACTCTTTTATATTTCATTAAAAAACATGCCCTTTTTCAAAATGTCAGATCGGTTTCATCACACCATAAAATTATTTACCCAAAGTTAAGGAAAAATAGCATGCTGTCATATAAGTAGAAAATTTAAATATACAATTGATATTTAACTTTCTCTAAGCAATGTAAAGATTGCTTTTAAGCCATCTAACAGAGTTGTATTTATTATTAGGGATCAAAAAGTGTGTAAATTAGCACAATATATTTTATATAAAATGAATCTGATTGTGTTTTCTCTTATGAATATACAATTATAATTCTGAATTTTGAATTTATTCTTAAACAAATAAAAACAACTGCTATACCTGAATTCTTGTTTTATGTCACTCTCGTGCATATTTTTTACTATCTATATTTTAGGCATTTTATAGGTTAAGCATGCGCAGTTGGTGCTTACTAAATATAGCCTAGCAATGCTCCCTGTTTCTTTTTTTTAATCTTTAATTTCAGGGGTACATGTGCAGGTTTGTTATATAAATACATTTGCATCATGGGGGCTTGTTTTACAGATTAATTCATTACCCAGGCATTAAGCCTATGATTCATTAGTTATTTTTCCAGATCGTCTCCCTCCCCCGACCTTCTGCCCTCTTGTAGGCCCCGGTGTCTGTTGTTCCCTTCTTTGTGTGCATGTGTTCTCATCATTTAGATCCCACTTACAAGTGAGAGAATGTGGCATTTGTTTTTTCGTTCCTACATTCATTTGCTAAGGATAATGGCCTTCAATTCCATCCATATTCCTTCAGAACACATGATCTCGTTCCTTTTTATGGCTACATCTTATTCCCGGGTGTATATGTTCAACATTTTATTTATCCAGTCTTTACCATTGATGGCCATTTAGGTCTATTCCATGTCTTTGTTAATGTGAATAGTGCTGCAGTGAACATATGTGTGCGTGTGTCTTTATAATAGAACAATTTATATTCCTTTGGGTATATACCCAGTAATGGGATTGCTGGGTCTAATGGTAGTTCTGTTTTTAGGTCTTTGAGGAATCACCACACTGTTTTCCACAATGGCTGAATTAATTTACATTCTCTTTAACAGTGTATAGTGTTCCTTTTTCTCTGCAACCTTGCCAGCACCTGCTATTTTTTGACTTCTTAATAATAGCCATTCTGACTGGTGTGCTTACTGGTTCTTAATCTCACCCACATCTTAGAATAATGTGGAACATTTCAAACTACCCACATCTCCTTCTAAAAACTGAAGTTCTGTTTTAACTGGACTTTAGTAGAGCCAAGAAATGAGTATTACTTAAAATCTTGCCATGTGATTCTACCAGGAAGCCAGGGTTCAGAGCCATGGATTACATTTTTAATATAAATACACATTATTAGTTGAAGTGGTTTTAAGTTAGGATAGCTGTAACGTTGATTGAAAGGGGAATACTTAAAACAGAACCCTGCCTTGGGTCGTCAAGACTTAAAAAATTCTTCTGTTTTTATTCTATTAAATATAATCATGCATTCATTTACTTTAGCATTTATAATTCTAAAACACATTGCAAATTTCACAAAACTACCATTTTCTAAATGTCAGCACTCTAAATACAACATTTATTTTTTAAAGTAGTATATTCACTTCAAATTCCATTGCTGTGTCAAGAGTTAGTTGAACTTAAAATATAATTGTTACTCAGCAAAAATAGAAAGATGTTAGCTGACTGTGTCAAAAGAAATATTTTAACACTGATTTCATTTTTACTAAATGAATTTTTCTTTATGTTTTATGCATAAGCTTCCCTGCTTTCTATTTTTTGTGGTTTAAATAAAGAACCATGATTATCTGTATAACTGATTGCTCAAAGTAATTAATCATTTTTCTTATGAAATTACCAGGGTAAATTAAGAATCTTATAATTACAGAGTTTTCTCTTGTCTAGAGGAAACATACTGAGAAACTGTGTTAGGAAATTATTATTTCAAAACCCAGTCTAAGTTCTTAGCCACTGGACTTTAAAAAAAATACATATTACATATACTTTTTCTAACATGATTGAGAATATAGTTTGTTTCAGATTTCCACATTTCTTAAATGAAAACAATAAAGAATTCAAAAGGCAAAAGGTACTGTAAAAAAAAGGTATTTGATCTCATGTAAATGAGAATCCTACACTCTCACTGAATTTTACTAGAGGGGAACTTATTGTCACATCAGGTTGTTTGTTCAAGATACTATTTCTGATGTATTTTATTAAAGAATTCAAAAGGCAAAGGTATTGTAAAAAAAGTTATTTGATCACATGTAAATGAAAATTTTACCTTCTTATTGAATTTTACTAATTAGAGGGGTAATTATTCTCGCATCAGATTATTTGCACAAGATACTATTTCTGATCTATTTTATTAAAAGTCACCATTTATTATTGGTTTTCATCTCATGTTATATATGCAAATGAAACTCCTTTGAGTATGCAATGGTTATTTACTGCAGTGAATATTGTATAATCATATTTATCAAAATGTTCTTCTTTGAAATATTTTTCTAATGCTTATTAGCAAACAGTTTTTATATTTGAGAAAGTAAAACTTGGACTTTAGAATCAGATTTAGGCCATATGGTAAGCCAGTTGCCTGAAAAATCTTCATAACAAATGCTAATATTGATGAATTTTGGAGATGTCATTATATATGTATACCTAAAACTACAGGAAAACAAAGAAAATTACCAATGCCAGAAACACAGGCAACACTTAAAACCAGCAAGACCAGTTGCTCTGACTTTTCTGGATGGCAAGAGAGATGGACCCAGCAATTTATAAATTTGGATTTTCTTAAGGCTCATCAGCGAAGGGGTGATGCATAGCTGGACCTAGATTGAAAGAGTAAAGAAAAATACTTTTTAACCAACCCAGTATAATTAAGAAGTTTGTCTGTAAATACTAGAACAATTGGTAGAAAAAACAAATATATATTCTCCCCTGAGAATCTGTAACATCAGGATTATCCATCATGTGTTGTTTGACTTCAAACTTATAAATTGCACAGCCTTGAACCATGAACCATCAAATTAACAAATTAACATATAGATTATTTTCTGGCCATTGTTACACTGGAAGTTTGGTGGAAGAGATGCAAAATCATTCCAGAGCAAAAGCTGAAAATTTTTTTCTGCAAAGGGCAAAATAATAAACATCTTAGGCATTATTGACCATTTTAAAGAGCAGCTTATAGTCACCAAAAGGAATATCAACAAACTAGAAAATGAAGATGAAGAATTATCCAGAATGCAGAATATGAACCAAAAGATAGAACATAAGATAAGCTGAAAGACATGGAGGATTGAATAAAACTATCCAAGGAATATCTAAAAGAAATTCTGAAAAGAGAATAGTAAGAATAAAAATAATGGGATTATAATAGTTTGCTTCTACTTCTGGGATGAATGTAGTAGTTGTATAAGACTACTGTTATTAAAATGACAAGAAAAAGCTGGATAAATTATAAAAGCCACATATTTTTTAAAGCATGAGGGAACTGTAGAAGCAATGATGAATAGATGAACTAAGAGTACAGACATACCTGAGTGTTCCAAATGGGCGAAAGAGCATGATGTATTCATAGCATCTACTAGTCAATTCTGGCACAAATTAGGAAGTAGAAGGCATGTTCAATGGAGGCAAAACAGTAATATATATAAACATGTGGGTAAGTCTAAAGAAGCATTTGCTATATTGAATCAAACAAATACAACAAAGTAAAACAAATACTAGAGAACATTGTTAAGCTGAGTTAAGTTTGGCTCAAAGTGCCCATTGTACTTGCCTAATTAAATTTGGCCCAAAGCGGCATCCATACATAGTGACTGTACTCTAACTTAATGTGTAAATAAGTTGTAAGCTAATGTAGATGTATAGACTTGTAACCAAGCAACTGAGCCTCAACCAATCATAGGAGCCAAACCCTTAGTCAATCCCAGGCTGAATGCTGCCAAATTATGCCCAAATAAGGCAAATATTGAACTGCACCAATCAGGGAAACTCTGAATATAATTTTCTATGTTCTGGTTATAAATACATCTCACCACTCTGGATGTGGAGTCACTCTGAACAATCTTTGTTCTGGGATGGTGCCTAGTTCTCAAACCTTTTTCTTGGTCAAATAAACTTAGTGAAATTTAACATGTCTTAGTTGTATTTTTTTAAACAACATTCAAAGACCTACAAAATAGGACAGGGAACTTGTATTTAGACTATACTGTCTAAATGCAAGTTATTTATGCTAGTTATTTGTGTGTTATAGAGAATATAGTGATATTGATATACTTTAAGTCATTTATATACATCGGGAAGAGGAAAAAAAAAGTTACCCAATTCAATGCAAGTCAAACGAAGAAGCAGAACAGAGCTAACAGAAAAACATGATAAGAGTTAAAGAAGATGGGAGCTCAAAGAGGAAAACTATCACTGAATTTGGGGAACTTTTCCTTGCAAGCCAAGTTAACTTTTGTTCAGATAGAATTCTCAGATGAAAAAGACAGAAATTATAGTCTATGGCTGACGAAATATAGAGAGTCTGCCCAGAGACTTTTGCTATTCTAAGCTAGAATCATAAGGTTAATATACTCCAATGAAGGAGAAAACAAGAACCAGCTCTTGAGCATACTTGAAGTCTGGGACCAAATCTGAGTTGTTCAGATACTCATATTTTCACCCTGATTTAAGATGATCTGATATGGGTAATGCTTGCATAAGTAAAACTTCTGGAGGAACTTATCTCCATAGTAGACAACAAGGTAATCTTAAACTATCCTGACACTAATTGGGTGTATAAACTTGGCCAAGTCATTTTTCCCTTTGAGTCTCAGTTTCCTCAACTGTAACGTGAAAATGAAAGTAACTAACTTGTAGGTCTGTATTAAAAATAAAGTCAATTATTTTGGTAAATCATTTGTATGCAATATAGTGTACATGAGAGAGAGAGAGAGAGAGTTTGTGTGCATGTGTTTAGAGAGATATGGAGAGAGAGACACACATACACAGAGAATCAGTATATTGTTAAGGATAACAGAACATCCAGAAACAAATCAACAGACAAGAAAAACAATTTAAATAATATAATTATCAGACAGAAGTTAAAGAACAAAACATACGCTTAAAGATGCACACAGGAAAATACAAATATGATCATGGTAGATTTAGAAAGGAAATACCTGCTAGAAGTAACAGAGAATTACTAGAAAATTAATGAAGTACAGTAGGAAGAAAGAAAATAAATTATTGAAGAAAAGTTTCAAGATATGAAGGATAGAGTTAAACGTTAATATATGTCTAAACTTTACCAGGAAAAGGGAGACAAAGGCAATAACTAAGGAAATAATAGAGAATGTTTTTAGTACTGATTGAAGACAGATATAAGCAGATTTAAGCAGGTCAACAAATTCTGAGTGGAGTAAGAAAAGTACAATGAAGAAAACAAAAGACAAAGCCAAAATTCTGTAAAGCAGCCTGAAAATAAGGCTTATTACCATTAAATAACAACATTTCAGTCTATAGAAACTTACATCCTAGGAGAGGGAATACTTTAAATAAAAAAGTAATGGATGAAAAGAGAAAAACCCCATCAAGTGGGATAACTGTTATCCATAAAGAAGTAGCAGGTGAGATGGGGAGTGAAAAAACAAACATATATCAATCCTCTTATTTTATGTATTATAGCTCAATTTTATTCCCATCTTTGATAATCCAAAAATTATACACTGATCAATATATCTGTTCTAAATGTTAAGATTCCAACAGGTAGATCATGTCTCTCAAAATGTGTTGCACATTGCCTCAACTGGAGGTTCATGATGCATATTAAAATAAGAAAGGCTTAGAGAATTCTTACAGCAAGGAAAACAATGTAAGTTTATTTAATTTAGTGTTTTAGCTATATATTTAATAATTATTTTAGGTAGGCAGTTGGTTAAAGACAATAGAAATTACTTGGAATTTAAAGCAAGCAAAAATGAATGCGTTGGAAAAGCACAACACAGCTTTTAGAATTGACAAAAAAGTAGGTGAACCAGGCTCAGGCAGGATTCAGAGAGCAAGTCAGAACCAATATCAGAAAAAGGAAGTTCTGCTTTTCATGTGGCTATTGTCCTGTCAGTCATGACCGCTGGCCACTGCCAGCAAAGCATGCACAGGCATTTTCCGGAATGCTGCTGGGCTCTGCTTTAGCTTGTCACTTCCCACTTTACCATTGGATTCCAAAAACCTATCCATCTGACAGGAGTAATTTCAGACTCTCTGCCTACTTCTTACCTTGCAAGGTTAAAAATGCAAGGAATGAGTGGCTATTCTTGGGTCTCTGGTTTACATTTTAGCCTCCAGGTGGTGGGAAGAGAAAAATCTACTCACAAACAGCTTCAAAACGGAAAGGCCCTATATTGGCATTCCTACATAAAAGAAAGTACTGGGGAGCTTGACAAATGGACATTTGTCTTCAAAGAACACATATTCTCCTTTAGACAAAGTTTGCACTTATATAGCACAATTAACCTACTTCTTATCAATCAATAAAACGAAGAGACAATTACAGAACAGGATAAGATGTTTGCAAACTATGTATTCAACAAGGTTTAATATCCAGAATATATAAGGAACTCAAAAAACTCAATAGCAAAAGAAAAAGTTGATTAAAAAATGGACAAAAGAAGACATACAAATGGCCAAAAATATATAAAGAAATGCTCAACATCATTAAGCCTCAGAAAAATGCAAAACAAAACCACAATGAGCTATTACCTTACCCCAGTTTAAATGATGGATATTATCAAGAAGACAAAATATAACAAATGGAAACAATAATGTGGAGAAAGAGGAATGTTATACACTGTTGGTGGGAATATAAAATAGTATAGCTGTTATGAAAAGCAGTATGGAGGTTCCACAAAAAATAAAAAAGAGAACTATTGTATTACCCAGCAATCCCACTACTGGGTACGTAATCAAAAAAAATGAAATTAGTATGTCAAAGAGACATCTGCACCCAGGGATATTGAAGCATCATTCAATATGGAATCTGCCTAAATGCTCATCTAACAATAAATGGATAAAGAAAATGTGGTGTATAAATATCTATCTATCTATCTATTTGTCTATCTATCTATCTGTCATCTATCATCTATCTATTTATCATCTATCTATCCACCCCCCCACACACCAGAACAATATTCAGCCATAAAATGCTGTTATTTTTAGCAATGTGGATGAAGTTGGAGGACATTTTGTTAAGTGAAATAAGCCAGGCACAGAAAGACAAACACTGCATGATCAAATTCATATCTGGAGTTTTAAGGATATGGAGAAAGATGTTAGGTTTTTTCCTTGTGTGGACAATATTTAAAATTATTATATTTGGAGAGATAACTAGAATACTCCTGCCAACTTAACTATGACCCATTGAATTGCTCTGAATTATAAATCAGATACTCTGAATTAGCACTTCACTGCCATTTTTAAATCTATAGCATTTATATAAGTTAATAACTGCTGTAGAGCATACTACTCATGGCTGAAAAAAGTGACCTGATGATTCGAGCTATCTAAGACCCACGTGATGTCTAACAGCACTAAGGATCAAGCTATCACCTCTCCCTTTACACATTTTTCACACCAGTGTGCTAGAGCAGATACCTGAAAAGTTTTCCCTAAGCCAGAGATCATTCTGACAAGGCATATGGAACAATGGAAATGTCAACATGCTTTCAAGACAAGTAACAGTAATCCTGGCTCTTAACTTGCTTTAATAATAATGAATTCTTTTATCAAGTCCTGAGGAATGAGGGCTTCCTCAGGGTGCTGTATTTCCAGGTGCTTATCAGAATTTTTCTTTGCTGATAAGAACAATTGTTGCAGCATGCTTTGCTATTCATATACAGAAAGACAAGAAATTTATATTCTAATAATAGAACACAAGTCCATCTCTTGCATCTGATTTAGCCAGATTAAGTCACCTTTCCACCAATATCAATCTGGAAGTGATATCATGAATTAAATGGTGTCAACCTGGGGTTTCTATTATATCTCGACAAAGGAAAAGAAGTTGCCATCATTGGCAAGGTACATGCAGGGTACATCTCTGTTTCGGGAGGTGGGATGAGATTTCCTTGATTCTCCTACACTGCAGAGGGTAGAGGGAGGTATTTATATAATACACGGAATTTTAATTGAAGAAGCAAAGAGGAATGGATTAATGGGATTAATAGTGTTTATCCAATACAAGATGAAAAACAACATATTATTGTTTGTATTGTGATGGTTCTAGAATAAAACACATCATTTCTCTAATTTTGGTTAGATCTTTGCTGAAAGAAAAAGATAAATAAAATATCCTACAGTTTATCCATATCCATGTTCCTCTACACTAAATATTCATCTTTGATTAGTTATTTTTAACTAGATTTGATTTCTTTATAAATTACCTTTTGAAACTTTAAACACATAAAGATGTTGTTTCCCCTTAAAGGATTTTTGTTTTCCTTTCTTTTGTTTTTTTTTAATCTAAAACTTTCTTTCAAAAACAATGACTTTCATAAACTTGCAACTTGTTAAATATAGTATTTTTATTAACATTCTAGTTTGTAACACAAGGCAAAACCTAAACATTTACCATTTATAAATAATGGGTAATACTGTTTCAACTTAACCTTGAAAATGTAGAAAAAAAAATTGAGTCCAGTCTGATAGCAGCCAAAGGATCTCAGAAACAGTAATCTTAGTGCTAGCCTGGCAGACACAATCTGCACAGAACTTAATCAAAATAAGATTAAAAGTCCATAGCAATTTCCTTGTGTGGCCAGTCAGATATCCCCCATTACAGTCACCAACCAGCCTGCCCCTGGGGCCTATTTCAGAAATAAATTGGTTTGTAGATGAGCTGATGCAGAAGAAGGAAAAAAAAAATGTTTTCTTGAGACTGTACCTAAATCTTATCGAGTAATACAGGGAAGCTTCAAAGTCTTTTTATTCTGAAATGTTATTTTATTCTGCTTTATATCATCTTAAATTTATTAGTATTATATTAAATATTAGTTTATGTAAGCTTATTATTTGACTCTGTATAGGATATAATAGATGGCATTGAATATTTAATAAGATAGCAACAGCAATAACACCTGGGAAATTGTTCAGGGAAGGATTCTATTCAGTTATTAAAAGATTTGCATACTTATTTCGCTAATATTACTCAGCAATCACAAACACTGGGTAATGCTAGACAAATCTGCAAGAGGTACCGTTATTCCAGCACCTTAAAAACATTTTTCAATCTGAAAGATACTTCTAGATGTTTTTTTCCATAACAGAGCAGACGATTTCTAAGTGTTTATATCACTGAAACTTCACAGTATTAGTGGAATATGTTATCCTTTATACCAAAAGTAATGAGATTATTTTATAAAGCAATTATCAATTAAAAATAGATTACTAAGAACATACTGTATAAAATGCCTTATGGGCTATTAATTCTGCATGCATTGCCACATTTGATTGTCTCAAAAAACCTCCTGAAATATGTATTCTTAACACACTTTTATTGAGAAGAACATTATGAGTAATAAAAGTTAAAAGATTTTCCCAAAGATGTACAAGTAAAACAGGTCCTCAGATAAAGTTGTTCTGTTCAATGTTGTTTTGCTATAATGTAGATGAGAATAAATATCGATTCCTGGACAGGGCTACCGTCTGTGTAGGGTCCGCATGTTCTCCCCATGCCTGCATGGGTTTTCTCCAGGAACTCCTGCTTCCTCTCACATCCCCAAGATGTGCATGTCTGGTTAATTGGCATGTCCCCACTGTGTGTCCCAATGTGAGTGAATGTGGTCATGCCCTGCCATGGAATAGTATCCTGTGCAGAGTTTGTTCCTGCATTGCATGCTGAGTAAGAATAGGCTCTTGCCACCCGGGACTCTGAACTGGATTAATTGGGTAAATAATCATCTTACTTGTTTTTATTACTCTTTTAAAAAATGTATATATACCTCACACTTATTTCAATGTTGAATGTTATAAGTGTTTTAGTCTTCATTTAGAAGTACAGTGATAATATTGTGACCAGAAATACGCAGTAGGAACTTAACTCTTGTTGTATCAATTGGCCTATGGTAAAATTTGTTTCATTGTTCACCGTTTTGCTTATAGTTGCAGTTTCCAATAATCTACTGACATTAAATGTGGACTTACTATGTAAACAATAGCAAGGATCCTAAATCCTAGGTTATATCTAAGTTTAAATGGCTTGACACCATGTCAGAATTGCCTCATGAGCATGCTCTTATAAGTGTTTCATTTTTTAAAACTGTGCAAACTGAATTTTGCATGAGAATTACCATTAAAAAAATTTTTGTTACAGATAGGATCTTGCTATGTTGCCCAGGTTGACCTTGAAGTTCTGGGTTCAAATGATCCTTTTGCCTCAGCGTCCAGTGTACCTGGGACTACAACTGTGTGCCACCACACCCAGGGCTGCAGGAAAAGTTGTTACGTAAAGCAGTGATTTATGAAAATAAGACTTAATTTGGGCCACATAGAAAATGTAAACAAAAAGAGTTGCTCAACATAAAACTTACTCAAGTCACAATTTACCTCTGACATGACATATTTCCATCCACTTCAGAAAAAAAAAATGTGTATACCTTTTTATTTCTTTTTTTCTTTTCTTCCCTTTTTTTTTTTTTTTTTTGAGACGGGCCAGAGTGCAGTCACAGCTCACTGCACCTTTGAACTCCTGGGCTAAAGTAATCTTCCTTTCTCAGCCTCCTGAGTAGTTCGACCTAAGTCATGCACCACCGTGTCTGGATGATTTTTAACATTTTTTTGTGGAGATGGAGTCTCACTATGTTGCCCAGGCTGGTCTTGAACTTCTGGCCACATGCTATCCTCCCACCTCGGCCCCCCAAAGTACTTGGATTATTGGCTCAAGTACTTAGATATATTAACCAGGATCTCAGAGAGCTTGATTTTGTAAGTTTGAGTTAGCATGTAATAACTGCAGTTGATTTTGATGCATGTATTTAATGAGAATCATTGCTTTAGACTATATGATATTTGAAACAAAAGAGCAATAGGACTGCATGGCACAATATAAAGTCTGTTATGATATAGTGACTTTCATATATTCTAATTAAAATTATAATATTAAAAGCTAAAAATGACAAGACAATTGTTAGAAATCATATCACGACAGCATAATCATGTATCCACAAGTGATTGATACAATAACATGAACTGACATTTTGCTACAATATTAATCAGTTGATACATGTTTTTAGGTTTCAGTTAACTGGTTAATCATAAAATATTATATAAAATATTATCAAATTGTTGTGTAAGTCATCTCACTGTATTCTAAAATTTATGTTATTTTATATTTCTAATCTGTGTTTTGCAGAGATCATGAAAATTTTAACTGGGTAACTGAAGAAGAATTGTCCCAAGGACTTGAATAAATGTTAATGTTCATAACAGTATGTTCTAAAAAGAAATTTAAGTAAAAAAGGAAAAAACATATTTCATTTTAAAAATATCTACCCATGCACATCATTCATCTAAAAAACCCATTTAACATAATCATCTAGTTATGTAAAGATATACCCAATAGCTACTTAAAATAGAAATATTCTATTTCATTATTAGAAATTATTATTTTAAAAGGTTGTTAAAACATCAAAAATTTGCTTATTTCTAGTAACCAGAGGACACAGCAGGGTTATGAAACCTTGGATTCCTGTTTGGTTTGGCAGGTAACTAGATTAACAAAAATACGAGGTTTTGAGTTTCAAAACACAACAGCTTATTTAAAAAATACTTGGTGGGGATCTGGCAATTGAGAGACCTTAGTAGCATAATCACTGGTCTTCACAATCACTGCCAGGTACTCTTTCAAACTAGCTGGAATAACTGCAAAACACATCATCAACCCAGCTTTTTTTGCTGGACCTGGGCATATATAAACTGATTAGATTTAAAAATAAAAAAATTAGAATTTTTTCAGTTGTGTTTGAAGAGGTGAACCCTTGGACTCAAAATCTCTCAAAAGTCCTGTCTTTCACTTCAGAATCTGAGTTAATTTGCACAGGAATATACTTCTGTGTTTCAATAAACACATGTAATTTTTCTGTTTACATCTTGCAAGTAATGACAGCTTTGTTCTCAAACCAATTTTGTTTTTTATAGATTTTACCCTGATACAATATGAAGAGACAATTACATGATCTGTGTAGAAATTCTTCCTCTAAACTAAATTATACTACCTTAGCAATCTGACATGAAAGTACCAAAACTATGTAAATTGACCCCACCAAGAAAATTATTACATAAAACAGTGATTCATGGAAATAAGACTTGATTTGGGCAACATAGAAAGTATTAAAACTAAAAAGGAGTTGCTTGAGATAAAATTTACCCAAGTGACAATTTTACCTGTGACAAACATATTTCCATCCACTGCAGAAACAAATATGTTTAGTTTATTAAAGTATATGTTTAACAGCAAAAAATAAATAGAATAAATTTATTATCCCTATCCAGTGATAAACACAATTTTAAAATAAAAATAAAAACATCCTGCTTATATTTGCTATACTATTTCATGCATTAGGCTAAGATATATGGTTATTTCCATGCTTTCAGGATGTGTTTAACAAATCTCTTATACATTTTCCTATTGTTGTCATTTTAATATCTTGAGTATAATATTAAATAAACATTTCTACAAATAATTTGAACCTCAAAGTTTCATAAACATCTATCCTTCAATATTTAGGCCTAAAAAGTAATCTCCATTATCTATCAAATTCTAAATTTGAACTTATTATTGTTTACTCCTACTTTTTAATTATTACTTTGGTTAAAGATACTTCATGATATTATTAAGTTCCTTAACTAATAATGTATATGGCTGTATTACATTCATTTATCCATCAAAACTAACTTTGAGCTACTACGAAATATAATTCAAATCATTCATATAATATCTAATGAATCATTATTGTAATGCAAAGCACTATACTAGGTTTCATAAGTGATACAAAAACAAGTGCAACTGCCTCAGTAACCAACACATTTGCAGTCTAATAGAGGAAAACAAGCCCTGTTATAAGAATAATTATAGTAAAAGGCTATATAAAATACAATCCATTTTGACACACACCTTCAACTCTATTTGCTAACTCTCATTTTCACTCTTTAGTTTATTTTTAGATTAAATAGTTATTTTCACAAATCAGTCTGAGGACAGAGTTTTTTGTTTTGTTTTTTTGTGAGTCATCAGCACTATGCAATTGCATATACCTGTTGTGTTTGGTCTACAGAGGCTAAACATTATGTAATAGTTTTTATGCATTTTGTTCATAGGTTACTGGGTGCTTTAAGGCAAAACTGAATGAGTTTCCAATAGTCAGTACAAAACTACGAGAAATACAGACACAAAGTGCCTGGGGTTATCCTCAAATGAAGTTAGATTTGAATTGCATTCAATAACCTTTTTTACAATGTGTAGATGCTCAAAGCAAATACAATAGTTTCTCTTTGCCTCTGTGACTTGAGTTCATAGTGCTGTGTTTAAATATAACTTTTGTAATGTCTACTTCACTGAAGTAACTTTTAAAAAATTTGACTCATAATGATTTTCTGTAATAACCTATGGTGCTTGGTTTGTAAAGTAAAACAGGAACTCAATTTAGTACCTACTGAATAATAACATTTTTCAACTGAGATTCCACTCATAAAGCACCTAAATTTTTAAAGTTAAAACACATTATATTGACATTAAATTTAAAAAGAATAAACAAGTTAGAGAAGAAATAAAAAAAAAAAACTTCGGAGAATAAACTGCTTCCAAGTATACAAGTACTAAAGAGGCTACACACTGGTATGCTCATTATAAATAAAAACATTCATTCATGTCATTTTATCTCATTACTACATATTTAAAATAATCTCTTATCATTATAGTAGGCCATCATTTTCCAAATAGCATCAAGAATCCTTATTTTGAAACAGTAATCAGATCATGCAGTTCTCCTGATCAGATCTCTTCACACTTTAGAATAAGATGCATATCTTCATTTTAGCTTTTAGACTTTTTTCTGATCTAGCTCTAGATTATTGTTTGACCTCATTTTTACTATTCTTCTCATTGCTCATTCAATTCAATTTCATGCATAATGATTTTTTGCTCTTTTTGGAATACACTTGCTTTTTGATTTCATTAGAGCCTGTAAACTTCCCTCTTCCTGAAATGTTCTTCCCCAAATTTATGTATAGCTTATTTTCTCTCTTTGTTCAGGGCTCAGTGTAATTGTAGATTGTTCTCTACCTTGAATATGTCTTACCCCTCATTTGACTGGTTTTCCTTCATACCAATTATTTGTATTCTAAAATATTTTATATTTTTCTGTTGACTTATTCACTGAGTTCCTTCCTCTAAAATGTAGCTTCATGAGGGCAGATATTTTGTTAAAACTGTATACTACTGTATCACTAGAACTGAGAACAATGCCTGAACAGAGTAGCTACTCATGACTCATTGGCTAAAATAAGTTAATGAATGAGAACAGGCAGGTAGAAAGCCAGGAAGGAAAGGAGGGTATTATATTAAGTTGAATGAGGGATTAAATGAATATAAATCAGCTGAAAGTAGTATAGGTTATGCAATATGCTTAATAAAGTATGTTTGTCTATTTTCGTTATGTAATCCAAAACCTGGCCAACCACAAAACTTGTTTTTTACTCACTTTCTCTTTCTTCCCTGTTTAGTGCAGCGTAAAATTAGTTATTGATTTTATCTCTTAACGCTCTGCCTCTATTAGTGAAAGGATCTTCTCTTATCATATTTCCAGTCCAAAGTTCAGTGGAAACTTTTTACCCTCTTACAGTCTATTTGAAATCCTTATATCATAAACATACCAGCACTTATCACAGCACTATTCACAGTAGCAAAGATACTGAATCAACCTGAGTGTCCACCAATAGATGATTTGATAAAGAAAATGTGAGATGGTACCATCTCACTCCAGTTAGAATGGCGATCATTAAAAAGTCAGAAAACAACAGATACTGGAGAGAATGTGGAGAAATAGGAATGCTTTTACACTGTTGGTGGGAGTGTAAATTAGTTTAACCATTGTGGAAGACAGTGTGGCGATTCTTCAGGGATCTAGAACTAGAAATACCTTTTGACCCAGCAATCCCATTACTGGGTATATACCCAAAGGATTATAAATCATCCTATTCTGAAGACACATGCACACGTATGTTTATTGCAGCACTGTTCACAATAGCAAAGACTTGGAACCAACTCAAATGCCCACCAATGATAGACTGGATAAAGAAAATGTGGCACATATACATCATGGAATACTATGCAGCCATAAAAAATGATGAGTTCATGTCCTTTGCAGGGACATGAATGAAATTGGCAAACATCATTCTCAGCAAGCTAACACAAGAACGGAAAACCAAACACTGCATGCTCTCACTCATAAGTGGGAGTTGAACAATGAGAATACATGGACACAAGGAGGGGAACATCACACTCCACAGCCTGTCAGAGGGTGAGGGGCTAGGGGAGGGATAGCATTTAGAGAAAGACCTAATGTAGATGACAGGTTGATGAGTGCAGCAAACCACTATGGCACGTGTATACCTACATAACAAACCTGCAAGTTCTGCACATGTACCCCAGAACTTAAAGTATAATAAAAAACATTTCCGCCTAAAAATAAGAAAATATGATGATATACACAATGGAATACAATTCAGCCTTTAAAAATAATATACTCATGAAACATGTATTTTGGAGCAGTTTGGATGGAACTGGAGGACATTATCTTAGATGAAAGTCAGACACAGAAAGACAGATACTGCGTGTTCTCATTTATAAATGGGAGGTAATTAATGCGTTCACATGGACATAGAGTGTGCAATGATAGAGACTTGGACATGAAGACTTGGAACGGTTGCGGGAGAGTGAGAGGCGAGTAAATGATAAGAAATTACTTAATGAGTACAAGGTATGCTTTTCAGGTGATGAATATGCTGAACGTCCTGACTTCACTATGCAACCTATGGATGTAACAAAATTACAATTGCACTCCATAAATTTATAGAAATAAAATAAAATAAATTACATTTTAATAGAGACACTATCAGAGAAATACACCAAAATGACTGGACTGAATTGGAAATGGAAAAGGTAGAAATCTCATTTTCTCTTCAGAGACTATTGCAAATTTGTGTGTATGTAATACACTAATCACATCAGATGCCACTTTTAAGTACATATTTTCCTCCACTGTGTAGATTTGTTTCAATACGGAAAAATTTCAGAACATATGTAATCAATACAAAGCTATTCTCAGTAATTTATTTTCATTCCATGCCATGTTACTTCGGTTTACATTTACTACCTTAGAAAACATTATGTACAAAAACTTTTCTTTCTTATAGTGAATTAAATCTCCAACTGCTTTGTTTTTATTTTAAGAAAGTAAATATTATGACATAAATGTTTGCAATGTTTTTGTTTAAATAAAGTATTTCTAGATTTCTCTTAATTCATAGTTACGTTGGTTTCTTTATTGATGTTCAAACACAGACTTTTAAAAATTCATATTTTTTTCAAAATGTGTGACTATTTACTTTCTAGTTCAATTGAAAAAGCATTTACCATAAAAATGGCAGTATCTTTTTGTACAGATGCTACCTCTGAATCAAAGCCTCTCAGCAACTGGCAACAGGAAGCTCTAATGCACTTTATCCCTAATAGTTATAAAATACGCAATCATCTGAAATCACATACTGATTTCCACTTCTTTTCTAACTACGGTTATATGTAAATATTTCACTTTCAAAAATAGATCTTGCCTTTTTATTTAGTTTTTTTTTCTCCTTGGCTTAGAAATAGTTTTTATGAAGTATTCAAATACAAACATAGTCTCTAAAAGCAAAGTATGGTTCTTTGTCAGCCAAAACACTTTCCCCTAAGCATTTCATTAGTTACATAAGTGATAAATGTTTTTCTGAATGGCAATTTACCTAAAGTGTTTCAAAATTAGGTGACCATTTGTGCTTTCCAAACCATACAGAACTTTATATTTATTCCTGGGTAAATCACCCATTTCCTTGTTCATCAAGATCAGGTGAAATGATATCCATATGAGATAATTAATTCCTCTGCTCTCTATTTTATTATACTTAGTTATTCATCTAAAATAAATATCTACTATAACAAGTAAAATATATAATAGTGTAGAAGACAACAAGTGTATGTGTTTGCAGTATGTGTAATAGAGTTAAATATATCTAAATATAGTATGTCTGTATTAAGGCAATGAACATCAATTTTAGCTAATCACCCTCATTAAAGCAAAGGGCACTACCATATGTGACATAGTTATCATTGACAGTCTGATAAATCTTGTAGCTGAGGTAATGGACAGGGAAGAGTTTGTGATAGTGAAATTTGTAGAACTAAGATCAAATTACCAAATACATAGGCACTATTAAACAAATTCTCATCAATTACTTCAAAAATATTGTAACTTCTATTTAATATTTCTTGTTTTTAATCTTAAAAACTCTACATTGAGTAGAATTTGAAATAGCAGTAAATTTCAGGTTAATGGAAATAAAATCACACTTGTTATTATTGTTCAATTTTTTTATTAAGTCTGAAGAAATATTTAATTGAATATGACATCTAAGAATGATGGACAAAAGCTTTTTAAATTTTCTTTCCACTCCTTTTTCTGAAAGCTTTGATACAAAAAATCATTTGACACAAATGATTTTTTTTTTTTCTGACAGGATCTTACTATGTTGCCCAGGCTGAAGTGCAGTGTGCTCATGCAATCTTCCCATCTCAGCCTCCTGAGTAGCTGGGACTACAGGCACATGCCACCATGCCCAGCTAATTTTTGTATCTTTAGTAGAAACAAGGTTTTGCCACATTGCCCAGGCTGGTCTCCAACTCGTGGGCTGAAGTGATCTGCCCACCTTGGCCTCCCAGTGTTCTGGGATTACAGGAGCGAGCCACTGTACCCGGCTGATGCAAATGATTTCTATTATTAATATCTTGCAGTTATTCTTCCATCAGATAACCATCAAAGTCAAAATAAAGATTATTAGTTACTGAAGGACTGAAAAATGAAAAATCATCTTCATCAGATGCCTTACAAACAAATGTTCTCTTTTAATATTTGACTCAGTAAAAGTTTTTTAAGAAAAGTAAGTTTGTGTTTTTATTGGTGTATATAGTCCCAGTGCTTAAATTTATCAGGATAGAACTTTTCTAAACTAGGTTAGTCTTTTTTCCATATCTATGGTTGAACACTTCAGTTAAATAAAGCAATGGTAGATAGCAAACTATGTTATAATTGGCATTTTGGACACTTGTTGCAATTAATTGCCAAAAAAAGCATATCTCACCACAATTGAGCTCTCATTTTTCCACTCTCATTTATTTCCCTTCACTTTCTTCTTGGCTTCTGCAAAAGCATTTGTTTTTCCTTTTTCTTTCTTCTTTAAAAAAATATATTTGAAGAGATTTATTCTAAGCCAAATATGAGTAACCATGGCCAGTGACACAGCACTCAGGAGGTCCTGAGAACATGTGCCCAAGGTGGTTGGGATGCAGCTTGCTTTTATACATTTTAGAGAGGCATGAGACATCAATTAACTACACTTAAGAAATACATCAGTTTGATCCAGAAAGGTGGACAACTCAAAGCAGAGGGAGTGGGGGTGGGAGGGGTTGGGGGTGGCAGGGGGGTTGGGGGATGGGAGGGTATTGAGGTTTGGGGGTTGGTTCCAGGCTATAGGTGAATTTAAACATTTTCTGGTTGATAATTGGTTGAGTTTGTTTCAAGACCTGGGATTGATAGAAAGGGAATGTTCAGGTTAAGATAAAAGATTGTGGAGACCAAGGTTCTTTTGAAATCTTACAGTGGCTGCCCTTAGAGATAATAAATGACAAGTGTTTCCTATTCAGGTCTTTAAAAGGTACTAGACTTTTAGTTAATCTCTTTAGGACTGGGAGGGCCGTTTTTTCATATTATAATTTATCTCCTTCATGTCTGTAACAAAGATAGGAATCGCTATAAAGTGTCTTCCCAGTTTCTGCCTAACCACATCCCTGGATTTCCTGGCCCCTGGCTTGGCATATGTTTGGGGTTAGCCTTCTCCCACTGCTAATTTGTATGCCATAAGATGGTTGTTTTGTTCCTCAGTACATTTATGTCAGATGTAATTGTTACTGTAGTAAACAACTATTGTGTAAAACAATGATAAGTGAGTGTGAAAGTAAAAAAACAAATCAGAAAATAAAGCAGAATGTAAATAATTGATAAAGACAAGTTCTGAAAAAATGTCAAATTGGATTTAGGAGTCAGACACCTGTAAGAGGTTTATTTGAGGGGCTAAGCGTGCTGGTATTTACACACACATTACTTCTTGTGTCTCTTCAATTTATTGGTTCATTTCAAAAAACCAAAGCTAAAAATCATAAAATATTCATTATGTAAAAAGAAACAATGTTCAATGAATCCATACATACATACTGAAGACCTTTGTCGGATAGTTGACAAGTATATTTGCATATATGTTTTCCAAGGTAAAAGAAAATTTGTGGCTGGGCACGGCAACTCACTCCTGCAATCCCAGCATTTCGGGAGGCCAAGGCAGGTGGATCAGCTGAAGTCAGGCATCCAAGACCAGTCTGGCCAACACGGTGAAACCCCATCTCTACTAAAAATACAAAAAAAATAGCTGGGCGTGGTGGCTGGCACCTGTAATCCCAGCTACTTGGGAGGCCGAGGCAGGAGAATTGCTTGAACCCGGGAGGCAGAGTTTGCAGTAAGCTGAGATCAAGCCACTGCACTACAGCCTGGGCAACAAGAGTGAAACTCTGTCTCAAAAAAAAAAAAAAAAAAAAAAGAAAAAAGAAAATTTGTAGGATATGGATAAGTAATTTATTTTAGAAGAATTGATTTTTTGTAGAATGATTTGTGCTAAAGCAATACATCTCTTTCTATCATATCTGATATCTTGAAAACTTTTATGTTTCTTGTCACATTCAGTATTTTAAAAATAGGATTGATTCTAAGTTTTGAGTTTATGGTGCATTTGAATATTAGAGATATTATCTTTTATACATTTCAAAGCTTTGCTGCATTCTAAACTCAGTCCTGCCTTAGCCTTAGTAATGGCAATGAAGTGCGGGGATAGAATGTTCACTATTTTTTTATGTTCTGTTAAAATTTCATACCTCCTGTGCTATCTTGAACTCTTACAGTTTTGGAATGGTGAGTGGGGGAAACAAGCATAAAACTATTACATAATTCATGTAGTTTTCACTGGGCAACAGTATCTATCCTCTGAATGGTGAAATGGCTACTTTTCATTTATTTATTTTTTTCTTTCCTGCGGTAAAACGCTTGAAAACTGCACCACTGGGAAATTGCAGCTATAGTCCATGTTTCAACATAGTCCATGCTTCCTTGAGTTGGCCACTTACTGTTTACTCTCATCTCCTTAGGTTTAGCAGTAAAGACCTGTAAGATTTCTTCTGTTAGGATCATCTAGCCATTCCAAACATTTCTCTTAGATTTGATTCTTTCAAGGCAAATCAACCCAATAAAAATTTCATAAATAACGGTGATCTAGCTGCCACATTTGGTGTTCTCATGTGATCAAACCAAATTTTATGTATACATTCAATTCTCAATCCAACCCAGTCTGTTTGCCTAAGCCATTCCAGACAAACTTCCACTTCGAAGGTTTTAAATGCATAAGTCAGATAGCAATCCTTCAGTTGCCCCAGAGGCATGTCACGTTCTTTGAATGCTTTATTATAGTCCTCT